>NC_000002.12:195671436-195974466 GCF_000001405.40 Homo sapiens | reverse complement strand
GGATTCATTGCCTGATATTTCAAATATTTCTATATTTTAAAAAAGATTATTACCACAAGGGCAAAACAGTTGGTGAATTTATTCAGTATAGAAATCAGTCCTTTATTATCAGTAAGGGGAAATAAAAATCCCAGTCATTTGACTACATAGATAGCTGATTAACTAAATTATCAAAAATATATTTTCAGTTAGACATTTTGTTACTTGTGGAAACCACCATGGTTTGTATCCTGTTGGTTTGGATTTACAACATAAAAGCATTTAGTCTAATTAGAATAATATATCAATGAACAATTTCTAAGCAACTTTCTCCTTCAAAAACATTGTTAGGTCTTCATTATTTCCTTCCTTCTCCCTTTCTTTCTTCCCTTCCCCTTCCCCTTCTTTCTTGAAATGGAGTCTCATTCTGTCACCCAGGCTGGAGTGCAGTGATGTGATCTCAGCTCAGTGCAACCACTGCCTCCTGGGTTCAAGCAATTCGCCTGCCTCAGCCTCCTAAGTAGCTGGATTACTGGCGCCTGCCACCACACCCGTCCAATTATTTATATATTTTTAGTAGAGACGGGGTTTCACCATGTTTTGAACTCTTGACCTCAGGTGATCCGCCTGCCTAGACCTCACAAAAGCCTAGGGTTACAGGCATGAGCCACCACACCCGGCCGATTTTTAATATTTTCTTAAAAATACAAAGGAAGGGTCAGCCGCGGTGGCTGACGCCTGTAATTCCAGCATTTGGGGAGGCTGAGGTGGGCGGATCACCTGAGATTAGGAGTTCGAGATCAGCCTGTCCAACGTGGTGAAACCCCATCTCTACTCAAATTACAAAACAAACAAAAAACAACCTAGCACATGCCTGAATCCCAGCTACCTGGGAGGCTGAGGCAGGAGAATCGCTTGAACATGGGAGGCTGAGGTTGCAGTCAGCCGAGATTGTGCCACTGTACTCCAGTCTGGGTGACAGAGTGAGACTCCATCTCAAAAAAAACAAAAACAAAAACAAAACAACAAACAAAAAAAACTGTATAGGTCCAAACAGTTCAGGGAAAGAGGAAAAAGTGGAATTTACAGTAAAGTGCATCCATGTTTAGGTTATCACATTCCCACGCGCCCAATACCCACCCATAAAACAAGAATTTCATTCCATGACACAAAGGAGCTCCTATTACCTTGAATGGTAGTCCAGAAGTATTGGTACCAGGGGGACTGGAACTAACGAAGAAATGTTGGTTGTCCTTGAGTATTCAGTACTGGGATAAATGAAACAAAGCCATCTGCTGCCCTACCACTCTGGTCTGCTGCCCTACCACTCTGCTGCAGTGCTGCTGGCCCCTCAGCCCCTTACCCTTGCTCCTTCTTGCCACTGGGCCCATGTTCTCTCCACATGCAGCCCTCTCCACTTGTTTCATTCCCTCGTTTCCTTCTATTTGTGCTTCTCCAAGATACGGGAACTACCCTCCACCTCTCACTACTTCACATCCTTATGATATGCTCCGAGCAGTGTGCCTGTGTAGCAGTTGTCTCTGTTGCAAGCTCGAAGTTTTACATTTGTTCTGGTGGTTATTTGGGTAAAAGAGACTCCCCAACTGGACTGCAAACTCAGGGAGGGCAGAGCCCATGTCTGTCTTTCATCACAGTGTATTGCCAGCACCTGGCACAGTGTCAGGCCCATAGCAGGTGCCCATAAAATGTTACTCTGAAAGAGTAACTCTTCACTCAGATAGTATCTGCTTCATATCTATCTTCTGTGAACCCACAGCACTCCTCCCTGGTTTTCCATGTGTTGTTGAGCATTTTCTTTCTTTTTCTTTTTTTTTGTTGTTGTCATTTTAGTGAGATGTTTGGGAGGGATGAGAAGGAAACTATGCTGTAGTCCCTGATTTTGAACCAAAAGTGTTGACTTCTAATAAGTCTGTGCATAGTTATACAGTGTATTTCCGCAGGCTGTTTCGTGACATGAGCTGTTCGTTAAAATGTCACCTGTAATTTTTGTTTTCCCTCAGGCTTACATTCAGAAAGTGGAGGTAACTGATATGATTGAACTAGAACAGAGATTAGTGGATTCCAAAAACTGCCTCGCCTTCCTCATCGAGTATGTCAACTTTTCTCCAGCAGACATGAGGCTAAATAATAGTGTTTTCCAGTGGTATGGAAGGATGGGAGAAATTTTTGAAGAACACAGGAAAATCATTAAAGAGAAAATAGAACAATATCAAGAAGGTCTGAAGGTTGGCATCTTAGATATTTTATTTTCATTTTCTGGAAATGTTTTGTTTTTATCTTTTTATGTAGCATTGTCAATTATTTTATTTGAGTGCATACTTTTTTAGCTTTCTCATACTATAATGCTATAATCTCACTATAAATATTAGTGGGAGACAGTAATATATTGGATCTTTTATAATGCTTATTGGATGATTAAGGAGTCAGTAGTATATTGATCAATATGCAGTCATTTCTTGATTTTTCAAGATAATGTGAAAAAAATGGAATATATCATGCATAGGTGATAGTTAATAAAAATAGTATTTATCTTACATAATTTATAGTACTATTTTCGGTTTTTAAAACTTGTTTGAATATCAAAGCTCCCTTGATGAAATGTGCTTTCATACCTCATAATTGCTCACTCTCATGAGCATTGTGCCCAGAATCGTCACTCTAACATTCAGTAACTCCAGCTTTTTTCTTGGGGGGGAGGGGGCAGTCTTCCATATAAGATGATTTATGATTTGCCCATTTCACTGTCCAGCCTCATTGCCTACTTCTCCCCACTCCTCACTCATGACTTTTCAGTAACCCTGTCAACTTCTAGATGTCTGCTCTCCTATGCTTCTTGTCTCCTGCACATTCTCCCCATCACTCTGAGCACACCCCCGCCCCACATGTGCTTGTTCATCTAGCACACTCTATTCATTTTTCTGAGAAGCCCTCTCAGCAGACCTCAGTGCTACTTGTTCTCTCCTGTGCTCTCACTTTGACCACATCTCTATCGGACAATTATCTGATCATTATGTTAGTGTTTGTAAGTCTGCCTCCTGATGGGATCATCAGCTCCTTGAGAGCAGGGCTGTTTCATTATTACATTTCTCCATTTATATCCACTTCCCAGCACAGTGACTGACACACAGAAATGCTGTGAGCATTCCATAGCTACTGTATTAGTAAATGACTTAATATTTACAGTCTCATTTTACAGGTGGAAGAGTAAGTTTCCCAAAGATTAAGAGACTTGTTCTAGGTCAGCCAGTACAGATGTCCTTTAATAGCAAGCCATGCTTTCTTTCTATTACATTATAGCAAATATAATTGGCAAAATATGTTGTTTGGAGAATAATTCATAGGCTTAAAAAACTCTTCATTTTAAACTGTAGTTTGTATTTTTGTTTTACATTAAGGGTATATCAGATTTTTTTAAAAACTGCAGAAAACATCATGAGTAGTAAATATTAGATGTTTAAGTTTCAGTAAAATAGGCTCTTGGAAAATTGCTAAGTGGCCCAGAATTATTTATGCTATGTTTTAAAGTATACTATTCCACAAACTACACACACTGTTGATGAACTTTTCCTCTCATTTTCCCTCCCCGACTGGGCTAGAGCAATAAGTTTGCCAGGAAACTAGAGAAAAGAGGACATAAATCAGCCTAGATAATCTATAAAATAGAAAATCTATTTTTGAATAACCTAAATTTTTTGAATATTTTATTGAGCTATTTTTTAGAGCCATTTAATTTGGAATGCCTTACCAATACCAATTATGTAATAAGGCTTTTTTACTTAAAACATACATACCTATCTTATATTAGAACACTATAGTTTTTAAGTGTTTAAATCTGGATTTATTTACCTTACGTGTTTCTTGTGAAGAGAGCCCATTGGACAAGAAAAATAACCTTGGAATATCTTGCTTTAGTATTGCTGATTGAAATGATATCAGAGTACAATTAAAGAAATTCCGTTTTTTTCAGTTTATAAAAATAGCATAGGTAAAAATTGAAATTTTCTTTTAGTCCCATTCTTGATTATTAAGAGATTTTTCAAATGCTGATAAATTATTTGTTTGCATAAATTCTTCAGCATATTAAAGATCACCATTGTCTAACATTTTTATTAATTTTATTAGCTAGAACTTCTTACATAGATAATACAGAGTTGACTTTTTCTAATCTGTGAGTTAGAGGAATCTAAATCCATTAATTTAAAGTTTTACAATTCTGCATATTTTAGATCTCGTTCATTTTCCAGATCATCCTTTTATGTTTTACCAGTGACAAAATATAATAATAATTCTGATAACTCCTACAATGTTAAAATTTTTTGACAGCAAGGGGTTTTAACTTTTAAGAATATTAACAACAAATTGTTTTTATTAGTTACGGTGTGAACGGTTTGTGGAGGAATTGGAGAGTTATGCTAAGCAATCAGAAGAATTTTATTCATTTGGAGATCTTCAGGATGTTCAGCGGTACCTAAAAAAGGCTCAAATACTGAATGGAAAGTTGGATTTAGCTGCAGATAAGGTATAATTCAAAAATTCTTAAAAAGATGAATTAGTTCAATTGAAAAAGCATTGAATTCGTTTTAGTTATTCACCTTTAAGAAGTAGATTCAAATAAAACAGTAACCACATTTAATTAGAGGATAATAGAATGACACAAATAGATTTTATAGACATGCTTCAAGGAATAGCAGTATTGCTGTTTTCTATTGGTAGTGATACATTTTTTTCCTATGTTAAAGATAGAGTTATATCTCAGTCTTCTTTTTAAACTTTGCTTTGCATCATTTAATTATTTGCATCATAGTTCTACTATGATAGTTGGGAGTCCATAGTTTTGAGCAGAAGCAGGCAAATGATAGTACCTGGTTACGGTTTAGTTCTTCCATCTTCATAGAGGACAGCTTAGATTTAGTGGTCTTGTTTTAAAATAAGGTCCATTATTTTCTCTCACCAAGCAATTTTGTTCCCAATACTACCGTTTCAGAAATCAGCTTTTTCATTAGAGGAAGCTGGAGGAAAAAGAGCCATACCCTTTGCCATATAAGATATTTACAGAGTTTAATTGTATTTTATATGAAAAGGAGAATGAAAACATATGATTAACTATGATGCTCTATCATTTTTCTTACATTGAAAGATCTTAATATCTTATTAGTTCAGGTAATTGTTTTATAATAATCACAAATATGTCAACATACGTGGAGAAAATAAAAACTCTGTAGTTATTTTAAACCAAGGCCACTGAGGTGGAACAAAATGGCTGAATAGAAGCCTCCACTGATTGCTCCCCCCACCACCCACAGGAAACCAAGTTTTAACAATTATCTGCACACAGAAAATCACCTTCATAAGAACCAAAAATCAGGTGAGCAATCACGTTACCTGGTTTTAACTTCATATCACTGAAAGAAGCATTGAAAACAGGAAAAACAGTCTTGAAACGCTGATGCTGCCCCTCCGCATTCCCCAATAACACCCATGTGGTGCAGAGAGAGAATCTGTACACGTCGGGGAGGGACAGCGTAGTGACTGGGGGACTTTGCATTGAACTCAGTGCTGCCCTGTTGCAGCAGAAAGCAAAACTGTTCTGACCTCAGCTGGCACCTACCCACACAGAGAGCATTTGGACCAGACATAGCCAGCAGGGAAGCACCCATCCCAGTGGTCAGAACTTGAATTTCTCAGCAGGCCGTGCCACTGTGGGCTAAAGTGCTCTGGAGTCCTAAGTGAATTTAAAAGACAGTCTAGGTTACAAGGACTGGAATTCTTAGGCAAGCCCTGATGCTGTCCTGGGCTTAGAGCTGGTGAACTGGGTTAACATGTGACCTAAGGAGACACCATGCAGGGTGGCTGAGGAAGTGCTTATGCCATGCTTCTCCCAACCCTAAGCAGTGTAGCTCACACCCATGAAGGTGACTCCTTCCTTCTGCTTGAGGAGAGTAGGGAGGAGAGAAAAGACGGCTTTGTCTTGCATCTTGGATACTAGCTCAGCCACAGTAGGGCAGGGCAACGTGCAGGGTTGTGAGGCCCCCATTTCGGGCCTTATCTCCCAGATGACATATGTAGACATACCCTGGGCTGGAAGAGAACCCACTGCCTTGAAGGCCTTGAAGGGAAGGACACAATCCTGGCAGGATTCATCACCTGCTGACTAAAGAGCCCTTAGGCCCTGAATAACCAATAGTGATATCCAGGTGGTATGCTATGGGCCTTAGGTGAGACTCTGATACATGCTGGCTTTGGGTACCAACTCAGCCACACTGGGATAGAGAACCAGGTGGGACCTTGGGGCCCCCAAGTCCAGGCCTAGGCTCTTAGACAGTATTTCTGGACCTGCCATGGGCCAGAGGGGAGCCCACTGCCCTGAAGGCTGAGTCCCAGGCCTGACAGTATTCACCACAAGCTGACTGAAGAGTGCTTGGGCCTTAAATGAACATTGGCAGTGGCCTGGCAGAACTGCCCATGGGCCAGTGGTGGCAGCAGCAGGAGAGGCTCTTCCACTTGTGGAAAGAGGAGGGAAGGGTGGGAAGGATTTTGTCTTGTGGTTTGGGTTCAAGCTTAGTAGAATAGAACACCAAACCTGGAGAAAGATGCCAATATTCAAGTACAAGGTTATAGAACACCAAGCAAATTTAACCCAAAGAAGACTACCTCAAGGCATTTAATAATCAAACTTCCAAAGGTCAAAAATAAAGGAACCTAAAAGCAGCAAGAGAAAAGAAACAAATAGCACACAATGGAGCTCCAACACATCTGACTGCAGGCTTTTCAGTGGGAACCTTACAGGCCAGGACAATGGCATGACATATTTAAAGTGCTGAAAGAAAAAACTTGTACCCTAGAATAGTATATCATGAAAATACCCTTCAAACATGAAATAGCAAGACAGACTTTCCCAGACAAACAAAAGCTGAGAGATTTCATCAACACCAGACCTATCTTACAGGAAATGCCATAGTTTGCGAATCTGAAAGAACAGGATGAGCAATAATAAATCATCTGAAGGCACAAAACTCACTGGTAATAATAAGCACACATAAAAATAGACTATTATAATACTGTTTAATTGTGGTATGTAAACTACTCATGTCTTAAGTAGAAAGACTAAACGATGAGCCCATCAAAAATAATAAATGCAACTACTTTTCAAGATATAAACAGTACAAAAAGATATAAAGAGAAACAAAAAAAGTTAAAAAGCAGGAGGATGAAGTCAAAGTGTAGATTTTTAAATTAGTCTCCTTTTTGCTTATTTATGCAATCAGTATTGTCTTCAGTTTAAAATCATGGGTTATAAGATATTATTTTCAAGCTTCATGGTAATCTAACATAAAAAACTATATACAACAGATAAACAAAAAATGAAAAGTAAGAAATTAAAACATACTACCAGAGAAAATCACCTTCACTAAAAGGAAGATAGGAAGGAAGGAAAGCAAGAGAAGCCCACAAAACAACCAGAAAACATAAAACAAAATGGCAGAAGTAACTCCTTACTTATCAATAATAATATTGAATGTAAATGGACTAACTTCTCTAATCAAAAGATATAGCATGGATAAATGGTTTTTTTAAAAAAAACAGCAAGACCCAGTGGTCTGTTGCCTTCAAGAAACACACTTTACCTATAAAGTCACACATAGACTGAAAATAAAAGGTTGAAAAAATATATTCCATGCCAATGGGAACAAAAAATTACCAGGAGTAACAATGCTTGTATCAGGCAAAATAGACTTCAAGACAAAAACTGTGAGAAGACACAAAGTATTATATAACGATACAAGGATCAATTCAGCAAGAGGGTATGACAATTATAATTTATATGCAACAAACACTGGAGTGCCCAGATATATAGAGCAAATAATATTAGAGCTAAAGAGAGAAATAGACCTCAATACAATAATAGCTGGAGAGTTAAACACCTCACTTTTGGCACTGGACAGATGTCCCTGACAGAAAACCAACAAAGAAACATCAGATTTAATCTATGCTGTAGACCAAATGAACATAATAAATATTTACAGAACATTTCATCCAACAGCTGCAGAACGCGAATTCTTCTCCTCAGCATATGGGTAATCCTCAAGGATAGACCATATGTTAGGTCACAAAACATGGTTTAAAACATTTTAAAAAAGGAAATGATATCAAGCATCTTCTCTGACCACGGTGGAATAAAACTAGAAATTAATAACAAGAATTTTGGAAACTATACAAACACATAGGAATTAAGCAATGTGCTCCTGAATGAGCGGTGGGGTCAATGAAAAAATTAAGAGGAAATGGAAAAATTTCTTGAAACAAATGATAATGGAAACACAACATAACAAAACATATGGTATCTAGTGAAAGCAGTGCTAAGGGGGAAATTTATAGCTATAGGTACCTACACCAAAACAAACACACAAACAAACAAAAAAATCTAATTATGCACCTTAAGGAACTAGAAAAGCAAGAGTAAACCAAACCCAAAATCAGTAGAGAAAAGAAATAATAAACACCAGAGCAGAAATTTAAAAATTGCAATGAAGAAAACAATAAAAATTAATGATATGAAAAGTTTTTGAAAAAATAAAATTGATAAACCTTTAACTAGACTACCCAAGAAAAAAAGAGAGAAGACCCAAATGAGTAAAATCGAAATGAAAAAGGAGACATTACAACTAATTCTGTAGAAACTCTAAGGCTCAATAGTGGCTACTGTGAGCAACTGTATGCCAATAAATAGGAAAATCTCGAGGAAATGCTTAAATTCCTAGATACACACAAAGTACCAAGATTGAACCATGCAGCAATCCAAAACCTGAACAGACCAACAACAAGTAAGAAGATTGAATGCATAATAAAAAAATCTCCCAGTAAAGAAAAACCCAGGACCCAATGGCTTCACTGCTAAATTCTAGCCAACATTTACAAAAGAACTAATGTCAATCCTACTCAAACTATTCTGAAAAATATAGGAGAGAATACTTCCAGATTTATTCTAGGAGGTTAGTATTACCTTGATACCAAAACTAGACAAAGACACATCAAAAAAAGAAAACTTTAGGCCAATATCCCTAATGAACATTGAGGCAAAAATCCTCAACAAAATACTGGCAAACTGAATTCAACAATGCATTAAAAACATCATTCATCATGATCAAGTGTAATTTATCCTGGGATGTAAGGATGGTTCTACATAAACATATCAATCAATTTGATGCATCATATAAAGAGAATGAACGACAAAAATAATATGATCATTTCAATTGGTGCTGAAAAAGCATATAACAAAATTCAACATCACTTCATGATGAAAACCCTCATAAAACTGGCTATTGAAGGAACATACCTCAACATAATAAAAGCCATAAAAGACAGACCCACAGGTAGTATCATACTGAATGGGGAAAAACTGAAAGAAAGCCTTTTATCTAAAATCTGGAACACATCAAGGATGCCCACTTTCACCACTGTGAGTCAACATAGTGCTGGAAGTACTAGCTACAGCAGTCCAATGAGAGAAGGAAATAAAGGGCATCCAAACTGGAAAGGAAGAAGTCATATTTTCCTTGTTTGTAGATGATATGAACTTTTTTTTTTTTTTTGAGACGGAGTCTCACTCTGTCACCCAGGCTGGAGTGCAAGTGGCGTGACCTCGGCTCACTGCAACCTCTGCCTCCTGGGTTCAAGCGATTCTTCTGCCTCAGTCTCTCTAGTAGCTAGGACTACAAGCGCGTGCCACCATGCCTGGCTAATTTTTTTTTTTTTTTTGTATTTTTAGTAGAGATGGGGTGTTACCATGTTGGCCAGGCTGGTCTCGAACTCCTGACCTCGTGATCCGCCTGCCTCGGCCTCCCAAAGTGCTGGGATTACAGGCGTGAGCCACCGTGCCCGGCCAATATGATCTTGTAGTTGGAAAAATGTAAAGACTCCTCCAAAAAAAAAAAAAAAAAAACTATTAGAACTGATAAATTCAGTAAAGTTACAGGATACAAAATTGACATACAAAAATCAGTGGCATTTATATATACCAAAGGTGGACAATCTGAAAAAGAAATAAAAGTAATCCCATTTACAATAGTCTCAAATAAAATTAAATACCTAAGAATTAATTTAGCCAAAGAAGCCACAGATCTCTACAATGAAAAGTATAAAATATTGATGAAAGAAATTGAAGGTGACACATAAAAAGGTATATTCCATGTTCATGGATTTGAAGAATCAATATTGTTAAAATGTTCATACTACCCAAAGCAATCTTCATATTCAGTGTAATCCCTATCAAAATGCCAATGAGATTCCTCACAGAAATAGAAAAAACACTCCTAAATTTTTTTTGTCTCCTGCCCATCCCCACAGTTCTACAATTTTTATGGAACTACAAAAACCTTAGAATAGCCAAAGCTATCTTGAACAAAAAGAACAAAACTGGTGGAATCACATTACCTAGTTTCAAATTAGGATTCAGAGCTTTAGTAACCAAAGCAGCATGGTACTGGCAGAAAAACAGACGCATAGACCAATGGAACAGAATGGAGAGCCCAGAAACAAATTCATAAATCTACAGTAAATTCATTTTAGAGAAAAGTGCCAAGGACATACTTTGGGAAAAAGACAATCTCTTCAACAAATAGTACTGGGAAAACTGGATATTCATATACAGAAGAATGAAGCTAGACCCCTATCTCTCACCATATAAAAAATCAAATCAAAATGGATTAAAGACTTAAATCTAAGACCTCAAACTATGAAACTACTACAAGAAACATTGGAGAAACTCTCCAGGAATTTGGACTGGGCAAAAATTTCTTGAGTAATACCCCACAAGCACAGGCAAACAAAGCAAAAGTGGACAAATGGGATCACATCCAGTTAAAAACTTCTGCACAACAAAGGAAACAATAAACAACATGAAGAGACAACCCAGAGCATGGGAGAAAATATTTGCGAACTACCCATCTGATGAGGGATTAATAACTGGAATACATAAGGAGATCATACAACTCTGTTGGAAAATCTCTAATAACCTGAATTTAAAATGGGCAAAAGATGTGAAGAGACATGTCACAAAAGAAGACATACAAATGGCAAATAGACATTTGGAAAGGTGTTCAACATCATTGATTATCAGAGACATGCAAATCAAAACTACAATGAGATACCATGTCACTTCAGTTAAAATGGCTTTTATTCAAAAAACAGTCAATAACTGCTGTCAAAGATGTAGAGAAAAGGAAACTTTCTTACACTGTTGATTGGAAGGTAAGTTAGTACAACTACTATGGAGAACAGTTTGCAGCTTCCTTAAAAAACTAAAACTAGAGCTACCATATCATCCAGCAGTCCCGCTGCTGGTATATACCCGAAAGAAAGGAAGTCAAGATATCAAAGAGATATCTGCATTCCCATGATTGTTGCAGAACTGTTCACAATAGCCAAGATTTGGAAGCCTAAGTGTCCAGCAAGAGATGAATAGATAAAGAAAATGTGGTATCTGTATACGATGGTGTACTATTCAGCCATAACAAACAAGACGATTCTGTCATTTGCAACAACACTGATGGAACTGGAAGTCATTATATTAAATGAATAAGCCAGGCACAGAAAGACAAACTTTGCATGTTCCCACTTAACTTGTGTGAGCTAAAAAGTAAAACAATTGAACTCATGGAGATACAGAGTAGAAGAATGGTTACCAAAAGCTGGGAAGGGTAGTGATGGAGTAGGGGATAAGTAGGAACGTTGAGTGGGTACAAAAAATAGTAAGAATAAATAAGGTCTAGTATTTGTCAACAATAATTTAATTGCACATTTAAAAATAACCTAAAACAGGGCCAGGCACAGTGGCTCACACCTCTAATCCCAGCACTTTGGGAGGCCAAGGCAGGCAGATCACTTGAGCCAAGGAATTTGAGACCAGCCTGAGCAACATGGTGAAACCCTATCTCCACTAAAATTACAAAAATTAGCCAGGCATGGTGGCATGTGCCTGTAGTCCCAGCTACTTGGGAGGCTAAAGTGGGAGGATCATTTGAGCCCAGGAAGTCGAGGCTGCGTGAGCCGAGATCTTGCCACTGCATTCCAGTCTGGGTGACAGAGCAAGACTGTCTCAACAACAACCAACCAACCAAAAGTGTATAATTGGATTGTTTATAACACGAAGGATAAATATTTGAGGGAATGGATACCCCATTTAACATATGATAGGCATTGTATACCGCTATCAAAGTATCTCATGTACACCATAAGTATATACACCTACTTCTGTGTACCCACAAATATTTTTTTAAAAACTGAGGCCACTGAAATTTTAAGTAACCTCGTAACCCATGTATTTAGCTAACGAACACTTTTCAGTTCTCTTCTCAACTGTCCATATCCTCACATATTTCACAACTAAAGTAAGAGGAAGTGTTCAAGACTGAACTCGAGTTTCATTTTCTTTACAGAAGCATCTGTGACTGCAGTATTTCAGCACTCTCTCTCAACTCTGGGTGTTAGCATTTTATAGTATATTTTATTCATTTTAAATTTATTTCGCTGAGATGTCTTTTCTATTGCTTTATATTATTATTATTGAAAAATTAGTTAAATTTTCACCTATGTATATATTTTCTCCTGAGCTGGATTACTAACTCCTTGGAGTTAGTATTTTGCAATATAATACTTTTTTTCTATTTTCCACAGTACCTAACACAATGCTGTGTGTATTAAAAAATATTTAAGTTCTTGTTAACTAAAGAATGATGCTGTGTCCTCAATGTGTCTAGACAGACAAAAACTCTTTCTTTATATATGTAAATGTGCATTAACTATTTTAACTAATGTAACCAGACATTGTTCTCTGAAAACTGTAATAAAAAAGAAATAGGGGAATGCTATTCAGCCTTAGAGGGGGAATAAAAATGGGAAATCCTGTCATTTGTGACAACATGGATAAACCTGGAGGACTTATGTTAAGTCAAATATTCCAGGCACAGAAAGACAAATACCACATGATCTCAGTTATAGTGGAATCTAATAAAAAATCAAATTCATAGAAGCAGAGAGTAGAATGATGCCTACAAGGGTGGGGCTGGTGGGTAGTGGGGATTGGGGAAGATGTTGGTCAAAGGATAAAAAATTTCAGTTAGGAGGAATACGTTTAGGTATCTATTGTACAAATTGGTAACTACAGCTAATAGCAATGTATTGTATACGTGAACATTGCTAAGAGAGTAGGTTGTGTAGTGTTCTTATTACAAAAAAATCAGTGTGTGAGGTAATGTATGTTAATTAGTTTTATTTACCCATTCCATAATTATACATTTTCTCAAAACATGTTATGTACCATAAATATGTACATTTTTGTCAATTAAAAAAAGAAGTAAATAGGAAAATGAGATTACTGCTCTGTTTTTCTAGATTATTGAAGTTTAACTTCAGGGCTTAGTAAGGTTTTTTTGGCTCACATTTGAAATAGATATTTAAAAAAACTTAATTTGCAGTATCATTCACTTTCAAAATAACTAATATATTCAATACTTATCCTTTCAGATTGAGCAGTTTAATGCTGAAGAGGAAGCATTTGGTTGGCTACCATCTGTATATCCTCAACGTAAAAAAATCCAAGATGGCTTGAACCCTTATCTTCGTCTTTATGAAACTGCTGTCGAATTTAGCAGCAACTATAGAGCATGGACAGAAGGGCCATATCATAAAGTGAATCCAGACCAAGTAGAAGCAGATATTGGAAATTACTGGAGAGGATTATATAAACTGGAGAAAACCTTTCATGATTCTCCATATGCATTGGCAATGACAAAAAAAGTAAGATCAAAGGTGGAAGATTTCAAGCAGCACATTCCTCTCATTCAAGTGATCTGTAATCCTGGTTTGCGCCCCAGGCACTGGGAGGCCATGTCTGCCATTGTTGGTTACCCTTTGCAGCCATCAGATGACTCCACAGTCTCCTCTTTTTTAGACATGAATCTGGAACCATATATAGACCGATTTGAAGGTATTAGTGAAGCAGCTAGCAAAGAATATTCTCTTGAAAAGGCGATGGAGAAGATGATTACTGAGTGGGATGCAGTGGAATTTGTCATCCATTCTTATAGAGAAACTGGGACATTTATTTTGGCATCAGTTGATGAAATTCAGATGTTGTTGGATGACCATATTATTAAAACACAAACTATGCGAGGATCTCCTTTCATTAAGCCTTATGAAAAACAAATGAGGTAAAGTGATATTTATATGGCAATGTTTATGCTATGTTACCAAAATCACTTGTGTTTAATGTAAAGTTCTTTTGAGAATTATTTCACACATAATATTTCATACTTAATATTTTATTTCTTTTGAGAATTGATTTTGCATTTCATACTTAGCATTTCATACTAAATATTTAAGGTCTTTAAATATTTAAAGATATTATAATCAATGGCTTCATTGCTATTGGACGATTGCTCATCCTTTGCTATCATCTTAATGGTTTGTTAACTTCTGTATTCATAACAAAGACAGTGGACAATCAACATCCAGATATTCGTTTTTATTGCCTACAATATGATCTTATTTTTTAACTCTCAAAAATAATTTTGTATCTGTGAACGGAAGATAATAATTTTGTTTTAAAAATACATTAGCTTGTCATAGAAGATTGCTGAATATCTATTGTAATTTCTACTCATATGCATGCGGGATGGCAAGTAAGTGAAAAAGAATGAAACTATAATTTTAGTTGGGAGTTTTAAGTATCATACACAGCCAATTAAAGTAAGCCTAGCTGTCTGTCAATGTTTCCAGTTTTTGTAATTTACATTAGGCAGGCTATATATTACCTTAAAAAAACAGAGTCCATCAAAATCAGACTACTGTCTTCAGTGGATTTGCATGGCAAGGGAATGCTAACAGCTTGGTAGTATCTGCCTCTGGTGACTTAGGTGTTATCGTACACTTGGGCATGTTCTGATTGGTCTTGGCTCATTCTCTGTGTTTGGTCCTTCTGCCTCCTGCCAGCTTGCTCCAGCATGCACATTAAGAGAAGAATTTTTAAACTACTCTGAAAGTGGTACATCTAGATTCCATTTTAAGGGACTATGCGTGATATCATTAGCTGCTTGGAAATTTTCTGAATCACACAAAAATTAGATAGAAAAAGAGGGAAGAAGAACAACAGAAGAAAGCAGAAGCATTCAGGTCTTCTTGTGCAAAGAGGTTAAACAAATTCAGTGATAAGCATTGAAAGAAAAATATTTTAGAAAGACATCTGAAAATGCCTGGTTACTTGGTGAACTCATTAACATTTCTTTGTTTTAAAGATCTAAAATCACAGAGCACCACTTAAATGATGAGTAATGTGTTAATATACGTAAGACTATGCCACATCTAAGTTCTGTTGCTATTTAATTAAATTAATTAATTAATTAATTAATTTGAGATGGAGTCTTGCTCTGCTGCCCAGGCTGGAGTGCAGTGGCACGATCTCAGCTCACTGCAACCTCCGCCTCCTGGATTCAAACGAAGTTGCTATTAATAAATCATTCTTCCTTATGACTATGTTATCTCTGATAGCAGAGTAATTACAACTGTCTGGGTTCAAATCTTGGCTCTATTGTTTATTATCTGGCTAAACTTGAGCCTGGCACTTGCCTCTATGTGCCTTAGTCTCTCCATTGATAAATAGATGTTACAATGGACCTTACCTCATAGGGTTGACATGATAATGGACTAAACACATAGAGACCTTAGAAATGTACTTGTAAAATTATTAGTTTATGGAGTAATTATATTTATTCTTGAGGAAATTAAATCATTATCTATATTCTCTATACTTAGAAACAAACTGATAACCTATTGTAAATTTAAATATTCCACCTTCTCATGAGTGCCACACTGTTTTGGAGTATGTACATTTTTCTTTAAATGCCAGTTACATCTTATAAATTGAAATACAGTTGACCCTTGAACAATTTGGGGTTTTAGGGGCGCTGACCCCCCACACAGTTGAAAACCTGCATATAACTTTTGACTCCTCAAAACCTTAACTACAAATAGCCTACTGTTAACCAGAAGCCTTAAAAATAACATAACACATACTTTGAATGTTACATGTATTATATACTATATTCTTAAAGTAGGCTGGAGAAAAGAAAATGTTATTAAGAAAATCATGAGAAAAATATATTTACTATTCATTAAGTGCCAGTGGATCATCATGAAGATCTTCATCCTCGTCATCTTCATGCCAAGTATACTGAGGAGGAGGAGGAAGAGGAGGGGTTGGTCTTCTTATCTCAGGGATGGCAGAAGCAGAAGAGGGGGAGAGGGTGTTAGGGGAGACAGGAGAGTCAGGCAAAGTCCATGTAACCTTTATTGAAAAAAATCCGTGTAAAAGTGGACCTACACAGTTGAAACCTGTGTTGTTGAAGGGTCAACTATATTTTAGAAATAAGGGCTTTATTCTAGAAATAAAGCCTTTATGAGCCCAAATTAAGGGGGGAAAAAGAACATTAAAGGAAAAGAGTATTGGATGTAACTATCTTTCCTCAGAAGCTCAGAGTACCCTTGATTGGGAATACCTTTACTGTCAACAAAATCTCATTTTTCAATTTGTACTCTCTAGCCATGGAACTAGATAGCAGAAAGGTTTATTGCTATGACATATACAGAAACCAGCCCAATAGTAGATAAGTATATCTTAACGTGTATATCTCTATAAGCATAAATGTTATATTATTATCTTTAAACATATTTTGTAGAACAAATCTAGTGATTTATCTTTAAATGCAACTAGATGAATGGAAATTGGAATATTATATACATTATATACAAGATTGTATATAATGTATAACAATTGTATAACATTATATACAAGATTGTATATAATGTATAACAATTGTATAACATTATATACAAGATTGTATATAATGTATAACAATTGTATAACATTATATACAACATTGACAACCTAGTTGTGGTTTGAATTTTGTCATTTGAAACATTTGCTTGGTTTGCTGTCAGTAAGAGCCACTGTGTTTTGCTCCTCAGAGAATGGGAGGGCAAGCTCCTACTGCTTCAGGAGATTCTGGATGAATGGCTCAAAGTCCAAGCCACGTGGCTGTATCTGGAGCCCATTTTCAGCTCTCCAGACATTATGTCTCAAATGCCTGAGGAAGGCAGACGATTTACAGCTGTGGATAAGACATGGAGAGATATAATGAGAAGTGTCATGCAGGTAGGTGAAAAAATCTCCAAAAATGTCATTATTTGGTTGAAGTGACATGATTTTTGTTTTCAGAAATCCATATAAGCCATTATTGTTTCCAATAAGCCATTATCTGTTTCATACATACATTGTCTTTTCAGCTATTATTTTAGAATGCCAGGAGCAGAAAATGTCGCAAGCAAAAGTAGGTATTTTGTCCTGATTACTCCTTGAGGTCCAAATTGGAATTTGCATTGTTTAACAACCTTTGGTTCTGTTATTGGTTCTTATCTGATGCACTGGAGGGAAGACACTGTACGAGGTACTTGCTGTCTCCGTCTATTCTGTGGCTCTCTTGTTATGGAATGCAACCCACTGAAACTCACTGTGGTGCACACATGTCAGTATGCCAACCTCTCAACACATGTTTCTGGTAGGGACCTAAAAAAAGATGAGTTGCAAGGATAAATATATCTAAAAAGTCCAATAAATGCAAATAAAATGCAATAAAGAAAGAAAAATACACAAATACTGTGGAGGAGAACTTAAAATTTAAGCTAAAGAGAGAATTTAATAAAAACCAGTAACACTAAAAAAAAGTACGTTTTTTGTTCAATTCAGAAGACTTTTTTTTTTTTTTGAGACAGAGTCTCGCTCTGTCACCCAGGCTGGAGTGCAGTGGTGCAATCTTGGCTTACTGCAACCTTTGCCTCCCAGGCTCAAGTGATTCTCCCGCCTCAGCCTCCCAAGTAACTGAGATTACAGGTGTGTGCCACCATGCCCAGCTAATTTTTGTATTTTTAGTAGACATGGGGTTTCACCATGTTGGCCAGGCTGGTCTCGATCTCTTGACCTCAAGTGATCCACCCGCCTCGGCCTCCCAAAATGCTGGGATTGCAGGCGTGAGCCACCATGACTGGCAGAATACATTTATTCACTGCCTCGGAAGCATGGTTGTGTGTCATTAAATATTAAAATAGAAAAAAGTTATTAAATCATATCATTAAATGAATATAAACTTCTGCATTGGTATTTTGATAAAATATAATACTATAAGGTAGGATAAGTATTATCTTAAAAATGTCTTACCCTGAAATAGAAATATGCATATCTTTATTGTTATTTAAACTTTAAGAGCTGTTACTATAATCCGAAATATTGATAATACTGTATTGACGTCAACTATATGATCTGATAGGAAAATATTCAGAAAGATGGACATGGTTTTATTTATTTAATCTTTACCTCATTTATGTAATAATACCTGAAACAAATCTTTTTATAAACCAAACTTCTGTAAAATTAATCACACTGGAATTAATTCCATATTTAAAGAACCTATTAGTAAGTTGCTTTGTAACACAATCATCTCTAATTAATTTATGTCATAAATTCAGTCTTTTATATATAGTTTCCTTACAACAGTGCAAAATCCTTATAATATGGATATATTTCCATTTAGAAGGTGATGAAGGAGAATTTTTTGTTGTTTTAAAAAGCAAAAAGTAGATACTTGTATTCTTTTAGTTAGTATATTTAAAAAATTAAATTCTTTTTAAATATGTAATCAAAATACTCTTCAAAATTCCATATTGCCAAGAAATTTTATAGATATCTCAGTTCCTTGAAAGGGCAGCTGTGTTGGGCCTTGTAAATAAAGGAGGCAAATTTTTATCCTATGAAACCACTGGAAACAAACAAAAACATTACTTACCCTAATTTCTAAATAAATAGGTATTTTCTGTTGGGGAGGGGAGAGTAACACTTCATTTACTTTTGCTTAAGACTTGATTGTCTTAATCCTAAGCCAAAAGAACAAAGCTGGAGGCATCATGCTACCTGACTTCAAACTATACTACAAGGCTACAGTAACCAAAACAGCATGGTACTGGTACCAAAACAGAGATATAGACCAATGGAACAGAAGAGAGCCCTCAGAAATAATACCACACGTCTACAACCATCTGATCTTTGACAAACCTGACAAAAACAAGAAATGGGGAAAGGATTCCCTATTTAATAAATGGTGCTGGGAAAACTGGCTAGCCATATGTAGAAAGCTGAAACTGGATCCCTTCCTTACACCTTATACAAAAATTAAGTCAAGATGGATTAAAGACTTAAGTGTTAGACCTAAAACCATAAAAACTGTAGAAGAAAACCTAGGCAATACCATTCAAGACATAGGCATGGGCAAGGACTTCATGTCTAAAACACCAAAAGCCATGGCAACAAAAGCCAAAATTGACAAATGGGGTATAATTAAACTAAAGAGCTTCTGCACGGCAAAAGAAACTACCATCAGAGTGAACAGGCAACCTACAGAATGGGAGAAAATTTTTGCAATCTACCCATCTGACAAAGGGCTAATATCCAGATTCTACAAAGAACTCCAACAAATTTACAAGAAAAAAACAACCCCATCAACAAGTGGGTGAAGGATATGAACAGACACTTCTCAAAAGAAGACATTTATGCAGCCAACAGGCACATGAAAAAATGCTCATCATCACTGGCCATCAGAGAAATGCAAATCAAAACCACAATGAGATAACATCTCATGCCAGTTAGAATGGCAATCATTAAAAAGTCAGGAAACAACAGGTGCTGGAGAGGATGTGGAGAAATAGGAACACTTTTACACTGTTGGTGGGACTGTGAACTAGTTCAACCATTGTGGAAGACAGTGTGGTGATTCCTCAAGGATCTAGAACTAGAAATACCATTTGACCCAGCCATCCCATTACTGGGTATATACCCAAAGGATTATAAATCATGCTGCTATAAAAACACATGCATATGTATGTTTATTGTGGCACTATTCACAATAGCAAAGACTTGGAACCAACCCAAGTGTCCATCAGTGATAGACTGGGTAAAGAAAATGTGGCACATATACACAATGGAATACTATGCAGCCATAAATAAGGATGAGTTCATGTCCTTTGTAGGGACATGGATGAAGCTGGAAACCATGATTCTCAGCAAACTATTGCAAGGACAGGAAACCAAACACCACATGTTCTCACTCATAGGTGGGAATTGAACAGTGAGAACACCTGGACACAGGAAGGGGAACATCACATACCAGGGCCTGTCGTGGGGTGGGGAGAGTGGGGAGGGATAGCATTAGGAGATATACCTAATGTTAAATGACGAGTTAATGGGTGCAGCACACCAACATGGCACATGTATACATATGTAACAAACCTGCATGTTGTGCACATGTACCCTAGAACTTAAAGTATAATTAATAAAATTTAAAAAAAAGACTCGATTGTCTTTCTCATCTGCTTTGCATTTTCTCTTTCTCCATATGTTAGTATTCAGGGAAGCTTTTGCTCATGCTCTCCAAAGAGCTGAAAATAAACATAAACCCATATTCTTTTAGGAAGTCTAATGACATGGTGTGTATAGTAGAGGCCACTGGATTAATTGCTTGGTACATCAGGTTATTGCCTTCATTCTTAGGAGTTCCTAATAAAGGTTCTTTTAAAAACCTCAGAGGTTGAAAATAGGATGTAAATACTGTTGTTAATATAACTGGCTTACAGTGTAAACAAAGCCGCTGGGAAGTTCCAACTGGGTAGAGCCCAGAACACTGCAGCTCAGCAAAGCTGCTGTAGACAGACTGTCTCTCTAGATTCCTCCTCTCTGGGCAGGGCATCTCTGAAAGAAAGGCAGCAGCCCCAGTCAGGGGCTTATAGATAAAACTCCCATCTCCCTGGGACAGACCACCCATGGGAAGGGGCGGCTGTGGGCACAGCTTCAGCAGACTTAAACGTTCCTACCTGCTGGCTCTGAAGAGAGCAGTGGATCACCCAGCACAGCGCTTGAGTTCTGCTAAGAGACAGACTGCCTTCTCAGGTGGGCCCCTGACCTCTGTGCCTCCTGACTGGGAAATACCTCCCAGCCAGGGTCAACAGACACCTCATACAGGAGAACTCCAGCTGGCATCTGGCGGGTGCCCCTCTGGGACGAAGCTTCCAGAGGAAGGAATAGGCAGCAATCTTTGCTGTTCTGCAGCCTCTGCTGGTGATACCCAGGCAAACAGGGTCTGGAGTGGACCTCCAGCACACTCCAGCAGACCTGCAGCAGAGGGGCCTGAGTATTAGAAGGAAAACCAACAAACAGAAAGGATTAGCATCAACATCAACAAAAAGGGCATCCACACAAAAACCCCATCCGAAGGTCACCAGCATCAAAGACCAAACGTAGATAAACCCACGAAGATGAGGAAAAACCAGGCAAAAAGGCTGAAAATTACAAAAACCAGAATGCCTCTTCTCCTCCAAAGGATTACAACTCCTTGCCAGCAAGGGAACAACACTGGACCGAGAATGAGTTTCACAAATTGACAGAAGTAGGCTTCAGAAGGTGGGTAATAACAAACTCCTCCAAGCTAAAGGAGCATGTTCTAACCCAATGCAAGGAAGCTAAGAACCTTGAAAAAAGGTTAGACGAATTGCTAACTAGAATAACCAGTGTAGAGAGGAACATAAATGACCTGATGGAGCTGAAAAACACAGCACGAGAACTTTGTGAACCATACACAAGTATCAATAGCCAAATTGATCTAGTAGAAGAAAGGGTATCAGAGATTGAAGAGCAACTTAATGAAATAAAGCATGAAGACAAGATGAGAGAGAAAAAGAATGAAAAGGAACGAACAAAGCCTTCAAGAAATATGGGACTATGTGAAAAGACCAAACCTGCATGTTTGATTGGTGTACCTGAAATTGACGGGGAGAATGGAACCAAGCTGGAAAACACTCTTCAGGATATTATCCAGGAGAACTTCCCCAGCCTAGCAAGACAGGCCAACATTCAAATTCAGGAAATACAGAGAACACCACAGAGATACTCCTCGAGAAGAGCAACCCCAAGACACATAGTCGTCAGATTCACCAAGGTTGAAATGAAGGAAAAAATGTTAAGGGCAGCCAGAAAGGTCGGGTTACCCACAAAGGGAAGCCCATTGAACTAACAGCAGATCTCTCTGCAGAAGCCCTCCAAGCCAGAAAAGAGTAGGGGCCAATATTCAACATTCTTAAAGAAAAGAATTTTCAACCTAGAATTTTATATCCAGCCAAACTAAGCTTCATAAGTGAAGGATAAATAAAATCCTTTACAGACAAACAAATCCTGAGAGATTTTGTCAACACCAGGCCTGCCTTACTAGAGCTCCTGAAGGAAGCACTAAACATGGAAAGAAACAACTAGCATCAGCCACTGCAAAAACATACCAAATTGTAAAGATCATTGACACTATGAAGAAACTGCATCAACTAATGGGCCAAATAACCAGCTAGCATCATAATGACAGGATCAAATTCACACATAACTATATTAACCTTAAATGTAAGCAGGCTAAATGCCCCAATTAAAAGACACAGACTGTCACATTGGATAAAGAGTCAAGCCCCATCGGTGTGCTGTATTCAGGAGACCCATCTCATGTGCAGGCACACACATAGGCTCAAAATGAAGGGATGGAGGAATATTTACCAAGCAAATGGAAAGAAAAAAAAAAGAGGTTGCAATCCTAGTCTCTGATAAAACAGACTTTAAACCAACAAAGATCAAAAGAGACAAGGCCATTACATAATGGTAAAGGGATCAATACAACAAGAAGAGCTAACTATCCTAAATATACATGCACCCAACATAGGAGCACCCAGATTCATAAAGCAAGTTCTTAGAGACCTAAGAAGAGACTTGGACTCCCACACAATAATAGTGGGAGGCTTTAGCACCCCACAGTATTAGACAGATCAACGAGACAGAAAATTAACAAGGATATTCAGGACTTCAACCCAGCTGTGGACCAAGCAGGGCTAGTAGACATCTGCAGAATGCTCTGCCCCAAATCAACAGAATATACATTCTTCTCAGTACCATATCACAGTTACTCTAAATTTGGCCACATAATTGGAAGTAAAACACTCCTCAGCAAATGCAAAAGAACAGAAATCATAACAAACAGTCTCTCAGACCATGGTGCAATCAAATTAGAACTCAGAGTTAAGAAACTCACTCAAAACCACACAACTACATGGAAACTGAACAACCTGCTCCTGAATGACTACTGGGTAAATAACTAAATTAAGGCAGAAATAAATAAGTTCTTTGAAGCCGATGAGAACAAAGACACAACATACCAGAATCTCTGGGATACAGGTAAAGCAGTGTTTAGAGGGAACTTTATAGCACTAAATGCTCACAGGAGAAAGTGGGAAAGATCTAAAATCGACAGACACCCTAACATCACAATTTAAAGAACTAGAGAACCAAGAGCAAACAAGTTCAAAAGCTAGCAGAAGACAAGAAATAACTTAGATCAGAGCAGAACTGAAGGAGATAGAGACACAAAAAACCTGTCAAAAAAAATCATTGAATCCAGGAGCTGGGTTTTTTTTTTTTTTTTTTTTTTTTTTTTGAGACAGAGTCCCACTCTGTTGCCTAGGCTGGAGTGCAGTGGCATGGTCTTGGCTCACTGCAAGCTTCGCCTCCTGGGTTCACGCCATTCTCCCACCTTAGCCTTCCGAGTAGCTGGGACTACAGGCACCCGCCACCACGCCTGGCTAATTTTGGTTTTGTATTTTTAGTAGAGATGGGGTTTCACCATGTTAGCCAGGATGGTTTCGATCCCTTGACCTTGTGATCTGCCCGCTTCAGCCTCCCAAAGTGCTGGGATTACAGGCGTGAGCCACCATGCTCAGCCAGGAGCTGGTTTTTTGGAAAGATTAACAAAATAGATAGACTGCTAGCCAGACTAATGAAGAAGAAAAGAGAGAAGAATCAAATAGACACAATAAAAAAAATGATAAAGGGGATATCACCACCGGCCCCACAGAAATACAAACTACCATCACAGAGATTACTATAAACACCTCTGCATAAATAAACTACAAAACCTAGAAGAAATGGATAAATTCTTGGGCACATACACCCTCCCAAAACTAAACCAGGAAGAAGTTGAATCCCTGAATAGACTAATAACAAGTTCTGAAATTGAGGCAGTAATTAATAGCCTACCAACCAAAAAAAAGCCCAGGACCAGAGAGATTCACAGCCGAATTCTACCAGAGGAGTGCAAAGAGGAGCTGGCACCATTCCTTTTGAAACTGTTCCAAAGAATAGAAAAAGAGAGGGACTCCTCCCTAACCCATTTATGAGGCCAGCATCATCCTGATACCAAAACCTGGCAGAGACACAACAAAAAAAGAAAATTTCAGGCCAATATCCCTGATGGACATTGATGCGAAAATCCTCAATAAAATACTGGCAAACCAAATCTAGCAGCACATCAAAAAGCTTATCCAGCATGATCAAGTCAGTTTCATCCCTGGGATGCAAGGCTAGTTCAACATATACAAATCAGTAAACGTAATCCATCACATAAGCAGAACCAATGACAAAAACCACATGATTATCTCAATAGATGCAGAAAAGACCTTTGATAAAATTCAACATCACATTATGCTAAAAACTCTCAATAAACTAGGTATTTATGGAACGTATCTCAAAATAATAATGTATTTATGACAAACCCACAGCCAATATCATACTGAATGGGCAAAAGCTGGAAGCATTCCCTCTGAAAAACCGGCACAAGACAAAGATGCCCTCTCTCACCACTCCTATTCAACATAGTATTGGAAGTTCTGGCCAGGGCAATCAGGCAGGATAAAGAAATAAAGGGTAAGCCAGGCGCTGTGGCTCATGCCTGTAATCCCAGCGCTTTGGGAGGCTGAAGCAGGTGGATCACCTGTGGTCAGGAGTTCGAGACCGGCCTGACCAACAAGGTGAAACTCCATCTCTACTGAAAATACGAAAATTAGCCAGGTGTAGTGGTGTGTGACTGTAGTCCCAGCTACTCAGGAAGCGAAGACAGGAGAATTGCTTGAACTCGGGAGGCAGAGGTTGCAGTGAACTGAGGTTGTGCCACTGCACTCCAGCCAGGACAATGGAGTGAGACTCCATCTCAATAAATAAATAAATAAATAAATAAGTGGTATTCAAAAAGGAAGAGAGGAAGTCAGATTGTCTCTGTTTGCAGATGACATGATTGCATATTTAGAAAACTCCATTGTCTCAGCCCAAAATCTCCTTAAGCTGATAAGCAACTTCAGAAAAGTCTCAGGATACAAAATCAGTGTGCAGAAATCACAAGCATTCCTATATACCAATAATAGACAAACAGCCAAATCATGAGCGAACTCCCATTCACAATTCCTACAAAAAGAATAAAATACCTAGGAATACAACTTACAAGGGATGTGAAGGACCTCTTCAAGGAGGACTACAAACCACTGCTCAAGGAAGTAAGAGAAGATACAAACAAATGGAAAAAGATTCCATGCTCATGGATAGGAAGAATCAGTATCGTGAAAATGGCCATACTGCCCAAAGTAATTAATAGATTCAGTGCTATCTTCATCAAGCTGCTATTGACTTTCTTCACAGAATTAGAAAAAAACCACTTTAAATTTCATATGGAACCAAAAAAGAGCCCTTATAGCCAAGACAATCCTAAGCAAAAAGAACAAAGCAAGAGGCATCACGCTACCTGACTTCAAACTATACTACAAGGCTACAGTAACCGAAACAGCATGGTGCTGGTACCAAAACAGAGATATAGACCAATGGAACAGAACAGAGACCTCAGAAATCACACCACACATCTACAACCATCTGATCTTTGACAAACCTGACAAAAACAAGCAATGAGGAAGGCGTTCCCTATTTAATAAATGGTGTTGGGAAAACTGGCTAGCCATAGGCAGAAAACTGAAACTGGACCCCTTCCTTACACCTTATACAAAAATTAACTCAAGATGGATTAAAGACTTAAACGTAAGACCTAAAACCATAAAAACCCTAGAAGAAAACCTAGGCAATACCATTCAGGATACAGGCATGGGCAAAGCCTTCAAGACTAAAACACCAAAAGCAATGGCAACACAAGCCAAAATTGACAAATGGGATATAATTAAACTAAAGAGCTTCTGCACAGCAAAATAAACTATCATCAGAGTAAACAGGCAGTCTACAGAATGGGAGAAAATTTTTGCAATCTATCCATCTGACAAAGGACTAATATCCAGAATCTACAATGAACTTAAGCCAATTTACAAGAAAAAAAACAACCCCATCAGAAAGTGGGCAAGGCATGTGAACAGACACTTCTCAAAAGAAGACATTTATGTGGCCAACAAACCTATGAAAAAAAGCTCATTATCACTGGTCATTAGAGAAATGCAAATCAAAACCACAATGAGATACCATCTCATGCCAGTTAGAATGGTGATCACTAAAAAGTCAGGAAACAACAGATGCTGGAGGGGCTGTGAAGGAATAGGAACGTTTTTACAGTGTTGGTGGGAGCGTAAATTAGTTCAACCATTGTGGAAGACAGTGTGGTGATTCCTCAAGGATCTAGGACCAGAAATACCATTTGACCCAGCAATCCCATTACTGGGTATATACCCACAGGATTATAAATCATTCTGCTATAAAGACACATGCACACGTGTGTTTATTGCAGCACTATTCACAATAGCAAATACTTGGAACCAACCCAAATGTCCATCAATGATAGACTGGATAAAGAAAATGTGGCACATATACACCATGGAATAATATGCAGCCATAAAAAAGGATGAGTTCATGTCCTTTACAGGGACATGAATGAAGCTGGAAACCATCATTTTCAGCAAACTAACACAGGAACAGAAAACCAAACACTACATGTTCTCACTCATAAATGGGAGTAGAACAATGAGCACACATGGACACAGGGAGGGGAACGTCACACACTGGGGCCTGTTGTGGGGTGAAGGGGTAGGGGAGGGATAGCATTAGGAGAAATACCTAATGTAGATGACTAGTTGATAGGGTCAGCAAACCACGATGGCACGTGTATACCTATGTAACAAACCTGCACGTTCTGCACATGTATCCCAGAACTTAAAGTATAATCATAATTTAAAAAAATAAGACATGTGGCTCACGCCTGTGATCCAGCACTTTGGGAGGCCAAGGCGGTGGATTACCTGAGGTCAGGAGTTCGAGACCAGCCTGGCCAACATGGTGAAACCCCGTCTCTACTAAAAATACTATATATATAAAAATAATATATAATTATGTAGATATATAATATATAATTATAATTATATATATTATAATTATATAAATATATATATAATTGGCTTTATTGAGATGTCTTGGTTTCCTTGAGGTGTAAACATGAAATAATCTTATAATTCATGCTACCAACTATACTCAACCAGTGACCTTTCTCACTCAGAGAGGCTCCCTTATTGATCTTTCAATCTAATTCCAGAATTTTTCAGTCACTTTTGCTTATTAAGAGAGTTTTGTACCTGTTTCAAATCCTCAGTCTTCTGTTCTACTCTGAGCTCTCCTCTTCCCCACAGTGCAAGTAAACATGAAGTTCCAGGGGTGGGGAGATATGGAGACTACTCTCCCACTCTACTTCTCTCCTCCTGTGCTTCTCATCTGGGTTTGGGACAAGGACCGGGTGAAGAGAAGGAGGAAGGGAGGGATGGGGAGAGAGAAAGTAAGAGGGAGAGAGAAAGAGAGAGAAAGAAAGAGAGAGTGAGGGTAAAAGAACATTTTCTGATATACCTGATCCTGCAAAATGGGCTGTTCTTTTTTGTCAGTGGTCATAAGGTAATTAACCTCCTGTCAGTGATGTGAAGGCCCTGTGCCTTTTCTGTTGGTCTTTGCAACTGGTCTAGCCTGTTGGAGAGTTGTGGGTATGTAATGAGCACAGATTAATCCGGGGTAGACAGGTGAAGATCCAACACAGGTCTGGCTGCTGAGGGACTTCATCTTGAGTATCTCCCCTAGGTTTGTTCGTTGTCTGGGAGATTTGGCTACATCTTCAAACTGACCTTCTGATGTTGTATTTTGCCATATTTTTGTTGTGTATGTCTCTTTACCCCATACTGTAGCAGTATTTCACAAATCTTCAGCCTTTAATTTCATATGCCTGCTTACTTTTAAGATTAGGTTATGGGAAAAAATTTTTCATCTGCCTGCCATAGCCCAAAAGTGGGGTCTGCAGAAGGGCACAATTCATCTTCCCTACCCACTTTGTTTGTATCCTTGAGCATATAGTTCTTGCCCCTTCTTCACTGGCCATTCCACCACACCATCTTCTCCCAGAGTTTTTTTCCTGTTCTAGTAGCATTGGAGCAGTTCAGCACACCGGGTGACTGACCAGATCTCCAGCTAGGAAAGATGTCAGTTTCCTCTCCTTTCAGGCCCTTAGAAAATTTATTAGGGACTCTCTTGGGCCCCCCTTCTTGAGATTCAGGGAATGGGAACTAGTTAATTACCCACCAGATGGAGATGAAGTAAGTGGATAATCCCTCTCTGCATGCTGCATTTCACCCCCAAACTTGGTTTTTGACTCATCCAAGTCTTTTGTATTTCATGCAAAGCAGACAAAAACACTCTTAAATTTTTTCCCAAACATTTTCCTTTTCTTGTCTAACCCCATCTCAATAAATATAACACTATTCTTTCTGTTGCTCAGGCCAAAAACTTAGTACTCATTCTTTATTTTCCTTGTTTTCTTTACTGTAGTAAATGTAATTTGGCAACAAGCATTTCACCTCTATCTAGTGAGCTGAAAAGCAGAAAAGATCATCTGCCAGGCTCTCTACATCTGACTTTCTGGAAGTGAATTAGATCTTGTCAGTTAGATACACTCATTTGGGATTTGGATGGAAAAAGTGAAAGTGACCAGCTTTCTGTCATTTTAGCTATTTCTGCTGTCAAGGAAGATCGTGAACACATGACTTTTTTTTCCAACAGGACTTATCTGGTTACCAGTTTTATAGGTATTATGAGGCAGTGATAATGGTGGCCTCCTGATCCCACCCAGTGAACTCTGGCATCAGAGCCACCATGATGGGTTGTTGAACTCAGTATTTCCAATGGTGTTATCCTTTAGTCCTGATTGGGGCAGAAGTAGTAAATCCTGAAAAGTCAGTTCTTATGTTTTAGTAGTCTGTCCTGGAAGTATGCTCCCCTAGGCTTTCCAGTGATTTTGTAATCACTTTATTCCCTGTGTTAAATTCCTTTTTGCTTAATATGTAGAAGGGTTCTGCACTGAACTTGAATAAACTATACCAGAACCTCAAGTATGAGATCTAGGATTGTTTATGACCCACTTGGGTTTTAGAGTAGTGAAGATCTAGTTATTGCTTGAAAATAGGACACTAGGAGTATCTGGTATGCAGTGTAAAAATCACTCAATCAATTATGTTCTTAGACTTCCAGAATGAACAATCTGTTGTACAGGGAAGTGTTTGGTGGACCATGAGGCTGCTTGAATAGGTCAATATGATAAGAATTTGAAGTACAAGGGAGGTGAGATGGGCTGAATTCTTTAAAAAGCACTGGAGAAATAAAAGACATGGTATAATTTGCAGTTTTAAATTCTCTGCTCAAGATGTGGTCAGAAAACTAAGAAACTTCTGTGATTTGCTAAAAGAGCCTTTTATTTCTCATAGCTACAAATTTGATATAGCCAAAAATGAGTTATAGAATCTGATTCAATAGGTCACCAAATTTCAATGTAATTTAATTCATGGCCTTTCTAGATCTGTTATGTGAAAGATAGTTTACTTATTGCAAAGCATGGGGTGGTGAAAACTGAAAATGGGGACACTTGGATGTAATTGACTCTGGGTACCCTGACCCTCAAACTCTGTTTAGCCTCACTTGCCAGAATCCTTGGCAGAGGTGTAGATAAATTAAGTGGCAATATATTGTAATGGTGCTTGTGTAGGGAGGAAAGAACATAAGTTAGATGTGGTCAAATGTGTTGATATGGGTGCACTTACCAGAGATCCTGTTTCAAGATGCTAGTCAAGGAGCTGTGAGTGGTTCTGTTTACTTGTTTTATTGACCAAACCTGGCTTCTGTAATGGCCTGTCTCAATTAGATAGAAATGGTAGAAAATCCTTGATTGGATTTAAAGAAATTAGAGAGTTGCTTGCAGATGTTTGTGCCGCATATGCTTGCACCATCCAGAAGTGGAAATTATAACTCCACTTAGGGGTGGACTTAACAATAGGAAAGAAATTCTTCTCATGGGCATAACTTCAATAATTATATTGGTTTTCTAACTTTCCTTGGAAAGAGTGCTTGGTCAGAAGTATGAATTTATGTTGATGATGGTCAGTAGCAAACAGTTATGCTGCATAATCAAGGACTTAGAAACAAGTTTGAAGGATTGGGAAAAAGGAAGACTGGGGAAGAGGTATGTAAGGAATCAGAGAATATACCTAAAAGCGAGCATATTTGTGTTCCATGTGATTGCTTAGTAGCAGGTGCAACTGCAAAAGGAGGAACTTAATTATATGGTTGACCAGTTGACCTAGTCTGTACATGTCAACCGGCATATGCCACTATGTGCACAGTGAGCTATGAAATAGAATAATCATTTAATATATTGTCCAAATTGGAGAACATTTGAGAGTTAAAGCAATTAATAATCTGAGAAAGCAAGCATGAACCAGAACTATCTTCATCAAACTGGGATACATGGCTAATGTAGCTATAAATGAAGAAGTCATGATGGCAGTGGTGGGAATTATGGAAGGAATTACTATCGGAGACTACCCCTCACCAACACTGCTGGGTGCACTCAAGCTGCCAACAGCAGAAATTAACATAATGCTTCTGATACAGCACTCATTTAGAGGGAATTGAATATTACATTGGCCCTCTTTCAATATGGAAGCCAGCAGTGTTGTGTCTGCACGAAATGAATTTTTGTTTTCCCACAGCAAGTTTCTGCCAATACTGTCATTCATTGACTTACTGAATGACTTACTCATTATCACAGTTTCCACACAACATTGCATATGCTAAGGAACTCACCTTATAAGGGAAATAAGACAGTTGACTGACATCGGTAATAGTAAAGGTCCTACTATGAATATTGACCTTAAACAAAGTGAATTGGCTTATATTGAAGATTAATTTGCTCTATCTGTGTATGTTCGTCTGTTCTCATGCTGCTAATAAAGACATGCCTGAGACCAGGTAATTTACAAAGGAAAGAGGTTTAATTGACTTACAGTTCCACATGGCTGGGGAGGCCTCACAATCATGGTGGAAAGTAAATGAGAAGCAAAGTCACATCTTACATGGTGGCAAGCAAGAGAGCATGTGCAGGGGAACTCCCCTTTATAAAACCATCAGATCTCATGAGACTTATTCACTATCATGAGAACAGCACAGGAAAAACCCACCCCGATGATTCAATTACCTCCCACCAGGTCCCTCCTATGACACACAGGGGTTATTACAATTCAAGGTGAGATTTGGGTGGGGACAACAAACCATATCACTGTTGGAAGGTGATGGGAGTTTGGGCTGCAGTTCTAGAGTGTACATGGTATATGTTCTCTGTCCACTCCAGGGATATGATTTCTCTCATAGGTAGAGTACATGGATCTGGGAATTAAAGAGTAAAAATAGAAGTGACATGTCTCACCAATTAACCATGTAATCTGCTAACAACAATTTTGCTTCTCAACTTTTGGCTTTTCTAGATGAAATCTAGTAGAGATTATCCTAACTAGATTAAGTAATCTCAGTGTCCAGGGAAGAAATACTTCTATATGAGGGACATATTAATGATTTCATTAAATGGGAAGTTCTTGATCTGCTCATTCCACGCTTTTACCTCTCTGTCTTTATAACTTTTCACTGTACTTACTCTATTCCAGCCACACTGGCTATCTCCTCTTCTTCCTCCTTCCTCCTCCTCTTCCTCTTCTTCCTTTTTCCTCTTCCTCCTCTTCATCTTCTTCCTTCTTCCTCTTCCTCCTCTTCATCTTCTTCCTTCTTCCTCTTCTCCTTCTCCTTCTTTTGCTTCCTCCCCACCCTTCCTTCTTCTCAAATAACAAACACACTGTATCCGAGGGCGTTTGCACTGGTTGGACCCTCTTCTGGAATGTGCTACCTCTAAATATCTGCGGTGTTAATGCTTTGCTTTCTTGATATATTTTCTCAAATATTACCTTTATAAAGAGGCTCACATCGAACATCCTATTTGAAATTAACCCACCTTTGACTTTTTTGGCACTTCTTATCACTTCTTTCTGTTTTGTAGCATCTATCATCTACCTTACTATATAATTTATCAATATGATGTTTGTTATTTATTGTCTGTCTCCCCCATGGAGGCTGGGATCTTTGTTTTGTCCACTGTTGTCACCCAAGCACTGAGAAAGGTCACTAACGTGTATTAGCCCTTGGTAAATGTTTGTTAAATGAGTAATAATTGAGATTGATGCTTGAATTATTGTTAATTCTAAGATTCTGAGTTTACTCTGGAAAACTTCTGAAAACTCAATTTTAGGCAAATGGGCCCTGAGATTTAGGTTAATCCTAGAAATACATTGAATCTAAATGAAAGAGTTTCTGCTCCTGATGAAGTCAAGGACTCTTAAAATTGTAAGAGGTTTTAAGTTCTACTCTGTCAACCTACATTTCCTTTCTTGAAGTGCAAAAGGTTTAATGAGGATCTTATCAATTTTCTGTTGTCCAGGGATTTTGCATTAGGAAATTTATGCTCCCAGAAATTTACCAGGCAGGCTTGAGCTTAATTCCATTAAGTATACAAAACTGCATTATCTCTTTTTTTATTTTTTATTATTTTTTATTTTACTTTAAGTTTGGGGATACATGTGCAGAACACGCAGGTTTGTTACCTTCGTATACATATGTCATGGTGGTTTGCTGCACCTATCAACCTGTCATCTAGGTTTTTTTTTTTTTTTTTTGTCATCTAGGTTCTAGGTTTTAAGCCCTGCATGCATTAGGTGTTTGTCCTAATGCTCTCCCTCCTCTTGCCCCCCAACCCCCGACAGGCCCCAGTGTGTGATATTTCCCTCCCTGTGTCCATGTGTTCTCATTGTTCAACTCCCGTTTATGAGTGAGAACATGCAGTGTTTGGTTTTCTGTTCCTGTGTTAGTTTGCTGAGAATGATGGCTTCCAGCTTCATCTATGTCCCCGCAAAGGACATGAACTCATTTTTTAAATGGCTGCATAGTATTCCATGGTGTATATGTGCCACATTTTCTTTATTCAGTCTATCATTGATGGGCATTTGGGTTGGTTCCAAGTCTTTGCTATTGTGAATAGTACCGCAATAAACATACGTGTGCTTGTGGCTTTATGGTAGAATGATTTATAATCCTTTGGGTATATACCTAGTAATGGGATTGCTGGGTCAAATGGTATTTCTGATCCTAGATCTTTGAGGAATCGCCACACTGTCTTCCACAATGGTTGAACTAATTTACACTCCCACCAACAGTGTAAAAGCGTTCCTATTTCTCCACATCTTCTCCAGCATCTGTTGTTTCCTGACTTTTTAATGATTGGCATTCTAACTGGCATGAGATGGTATCTCATTGTGGTTTTGATTTGCATTTCTCTAATAACAAGTGATGATGAGCTTTTTTTCATAGGTTTGTTGGCCACATAAATGTCTTCTTTTGAGAAGTGTGTGTTTATATCCTTCACCCACTTTTTGATGGGGTTGGTTTTTTTTTTAATTGGCTTAAGTTCCTTGTAGATTCTGGATATTAGCCCTTTGTCAGATGGATAGATTGCAAAAATGTTCTCCCATTCTGTAGGTTGCCTGTTCACTCTGATGATAGTTTATTTTGCTGTGCAGAAGCTCTTTAGTTTAATTATATCCCATTTGTCAATTTTGGCTTGTGTTGCCATTGCTTTTGGTGTTTTAGCCAATGAAGTCTTTGCCCATGCCTGTATCCTGAATGGTATTGCCTAGGTTTTCTTTTTCTAGGGTTTTTATGGTTTTAAGTTTTACAATTAAGTCTTTAACCAATCTTGAGTTAATTTTTGTGTAAGGTGTAAGGAAGGGGTCCAGTTTCTGTTTTCTGCATGTGGCTAGCCAGTTTTCTCAGCACCATTTGTTAAATAGGGATTTTTTTCCCAATTGCTTGTTTTTATCAGGTTTGTCAAAGATCAGATGGTTGTAGATGTGTGGTGTGATTTCTGAGGTCTCTGTTCTGTTCCATTGGTCTATATATCTGTTTTGGTACCAGTACCATGCTGTTTTGGTTACTGTAGCCTTGTAGTATAGTTTGAAGTCAGGTAGCATGATGCCTCCAGCTTTGTTCTTTTTGCTTAGGATTGTTTTGGCTATAAGGGCTCTTTTCTGGTTCCATGTGAAATTTAAAGTAGTTTCTTCTAATTCTGCAAAGAAAGTCAGTGGTAGCTTGAGGGGAATAGCATTGAATCTATAAATTACTTTGGGCAGTATGGCCAGTTTCATGATATTGATCCTTCCTATCCATGAGCATGGAATTTTTTTCCATTTGTTTGTGTTCTCTCTTATTTCTTTGAGCAGTGACAAAACCGTATTTTCTATGAAACTTCCTAGTAGCAGAAATGAGAAAGCTCTCTATATACTCAATGTTTCGGGCCCCTGATATCACATTCATTTGGTTTAGAAATGTAAACCTAGTAGATCATCACTAGAGCTGATGAGATTGGTGGGTGGTTGTGAAGTAAAAGAAGACACTTAAAAATTGTCAGTCAGTGTTCTTTTAACCAAAAAAATGACAATTAATAATTCAATTCTTCCCCTTTAGGAGACAGAAAGTAATTAAAGTGTCAAAGAAGTCATACTAAGATTCAAATTTCTAGTAGCTTCCTGTTACAACATCTTATTGCTATGTTCTGAGGACATAGCTATGAAGTACCAGCCTTCTGTGACATGGAGGCTTGTACATTCCTTGAGTTTCCCTGTATGAGCCCAAGTGCAGTTCATCCTGCATTTGCTGAAGCACTCAACATGGAATGGTGACTCTGTACCAGGATTTGATGGCGATTCTTAGAGGAATTTAAAGTCAGTGTTATTTTACTATGATAAATACCTTTCTTGAAGGATGGAAGATTATAAAATGTTCATTTTAACTCCATAAAACATGGAGTGATGTAAATGCTTCATTTTCCCCTTTCCCCAGAGTCAATCCTTCCCCACCTGCACTCTTTCTAACAGACAATTTTGGGGTGAGGAGAAGGAAAGGGGGAGTAAAAGGGTCGCTTCAAGTGTCTGTGTGTTTTAGACACCATATTAGTCACTTCAAATACATTATCTAATTTAGTCCTCATACCGATTTTGAGAGAGGGCTTTTATCCCCATTTTCAAGATAATAAAAAAGGGACTCAGATTAAGCAGATGATCTAAGGTCGCACAGGTAGTGGGGAATAGAGTGTGGACAGACACCAAGTCTGTTCAACTTGGGCCCCTTTCTTTATCTGATACAGTCTTTATTATGTTTGTCTTCTCACTGGGAGAGAGTAAAGGTAGTTGAGTTGCCAGTCATAAGATGATTACTTTTATTTTAAAATCTTAAATCCATATACAAAGATACATAGATTATTGCCTGTGTTCATTTAAAAGTAGCATATTTGGTTCAGAGTTATTAAGCTAATCTGGTTAAATAGGTTTGACCCTGGAAATTCAATAATAAAAAAAGTTTACCTGAATGCTCTTTCCATGGTTTGTTGTTGTTTGTTTGTTATTTTGGCAATTATAATATTTAGCAAATGGAATATACTGGTTTAAATAACTGAGTTTTTAGCTTTCAAATCTTAGATTAAGAATGGAAACATTGCAATAATTTTTTTGGTTGAGAATAACAAATACTGTTCATGTGTGAAAGGAGTTTTTTACATTTATTAGCCACAATTCAGCTTTTTTCCCCAAACAAATACAGGCATACTTTTCCAGAAGGTGGCACTCTAAGAACATTATTTTGATATTTGGATTTAGGCGAACATGATGGCCTGAGTCTGTTATGCTGTGTGTGTTTGTGTGTGTGTGTGTGTGTGTGTGTGTGTGTGTGTGTGAATGTCTATTTGAAACATAAAACAAGAAGCATAATAAAATTCCTTTTAAAAATTATGCACCTTTAAAGATAAATTGATCTAATTATATTATATGATTTATATATTCATGTTTTATTGAGGAAACAAGTAATGATAATTATTTTCTTTGATTAAATTGCTGTTTCCAAATTGCATTGTTGTAATCCAAAAAAAGCAAAAATTGTATCTTTCCTTTTCAGACACATTCAAAGTATGTTCACAAAAACATACTTTAGAGACTCCTGCAATTGAATAAAATTCCTATAGGAAAAAATTTACTGGTTACATTTTTGGTTATCTCTCAGTCATGGCTAAATACCAAAAATATCTAATTAGTTAATCTTGAAATTTAGTATTTAGTTTTTAACAATATTCTCTTGATTTAATTTCATATAAATTTCCTAAAATGCCCTGTTACATTAATAAATGTCTGGTGTATTTTCATGAGGTGTGCTACTTGGCGATTGAAATCTCTGTTGTGTTAGCACCTTTTTTGTTTTTTCAACACCTTCAAGCTTATTAAGTAAAGAACTTTCCTTACATTGTCAATGATGTCAGTGGTGAACACTGACTTTGGAATTATAAGACCAAGAATAGACCCAGATGACATCAACCATGTGTTAAAGAAAAAAAAGTAAAAAGAATTCTATTTCAACTATATCTAGGCTGTATTTTTATATGTATTTCTAAAGATTTTCATAAACTTGGTGGTTACTGTATAGATATTTTGAGAAATCAATAAACTCTATTTACTTTTTTTAAAAAATATGAGTTCTTTAAGATCAGCTTTTGGTTATAATTCTTATTTTGAATACACAGGATAAAAGAAAGCTCTTTTAAAAATATTTGATTGTGTTTGAATCACTTTAAAGCAAACAGCTCACAGTGACACTTTCAAGTGAGAATGTTCACCATGCCTTAAAGGTGGAACAGTCTGTCTCTAGAGAGTTCAGGAAGAGCACACCTTGAACTTCAGTCCTTCAGCAAGAAGTGTTATAAAGTAGTTTCAAGGGTCATTGTTTACAATGTAAGATCTTCTTAGAAAGCTTTCTTCCTCATTTCCTCAACCCTTACTTTTTTCTCTGTAGTTATAAAACAGGGATTCTGTTATGTTATTATTATTCATAACAATAAAATTCAAAATAATAATTATAATGATGACTTATTGTTTAGAATTCTTTTCCTCAAAGAATAAAATACAAAAGAAAATATCTCATACCAGTTTGTTTCCACTGTCCTTCTTGTGAGTTCAGGCAGTGTTCTCTCTCTCTCATTTTCTGTTTCTTACACTTCTCAACTTAGAATGAGAATCGTTATGAACAGGGCTGAGGATTAAATCAATGTGACTTTTACAGAATCAGAGAGGCCAAGTAGACCTAGAATATGCAAGACTACTTTTAAAAAACAAATACTCCCCTTAAAATTTACATAACCTTTGTTTGATTACAAACATATAATCTCAAATATAATATGAATATAAATAGAGTTAGTATCTAATATTTTTGAATTGAGTGTTTTTTATTTTTATTTTTAGGATAAACATGTTCTGACAGTTGTAACCATTGACAGAATGCTGGAAAGGCTGAAAAAATCTAATGAACTTTTGGAGCTCATTCTTAAAGGACTTAATGAATATTTGGAAAAGAAACGCCTCTTTTTCCCCAGATTCTTTTTTTTGTCCAATGATGAACTTCTTGAGATACTATCTGAGACTAAAGATCCCACTAGGTAAGTAATTTACATGTAGAATACATGACTAAATTTATCTGCTTAAACTTAATTTTTAGAACAAAGTAGAACATAAATATATATAATCATGTTTATATAATATTTTTTCTACAAGAATGTTCCAAGTATTATATAATCAACTTTGGATAATTATTAAAAATGTAACTAGTATCACTGAATGAACCGTGGAATCGTTTTCTTTTTTTGTTTGTTTTTTTGTTTTTGAGATGGAGTTTCACTCTTGTTTCCCAGGCTGGAGTGCAATGGCGCGACCTTGGCTCACTGCAACCTCCGCCTCCCAGGTTCAAGTGATTCTTCTGCCTCAGCTTCCCGAGTAGCTGGGATTACAGGCGTGCGCCACCATGCCCAGCTAATTTTGGTATTTTTAGTAGGGACAGGGTTTCACCATGTTGGCCAGGCTGGTCTTGAACTCCTGATCTCAAGTGATCCACCTGCCTCGGCCTCCCAAAGTGCTGGGATTACAGGCGTGAGCCACCGTGCCTGGCCAGATTTCTTAACTTATCACATCTTACAGATTTTTCAGAACACAGCTCTTTCACAGCACATTCAGAATAAAAGCCACTGCTCTCATGATGGTTTGCAATGCCCCACACAGATTATCCTTCCCCTGTTATCCTTCCTATTCATCTCCTACTAGTCTTCTTGCTCACTCTGCATGCAGCCCACCAACCTTTTTGCAATTCCCCGGTAAAAGGGGCAGCCTCCTTTCTCAGTGTACTGTTCTCTTGCCTGGGATGCTCCTTACCCAAATGTTCATCATACTTCTTCCTTTACCTCCTATAAGTCTTAGTGGAAATCTGGTTAAACATCTGTCATTCAGGGAGGCCCTCCCTGACCACCATATTTAAAGAGGCAGCTCCCTCCATGCTCAACTTGCCCTCTTTCCTGGACTTATTTTCCTTGCCTCATTTTCCTTCTGCATAGTTGTTATCATCTGGCATACTCTGTAATTTACTTATTTGTTAATGGCATGTCTTCCTCTAGCGGAATATAAGCTCCACCATGGTAGAGATTTTTTGACTGTTTTTTTCCCACTGCTGATTCCCCAATCTTTAGAAGAGCATCTGATATAAACAGTGAATAGATACTTGTTAAACAAATGTGTTAATTTTGTTAACTTGTGCCTTCAAAGTAGGGGATATGTAATCTAAACAAAAGGTAAATTTAGGCTCAGATTTCTATCTGAGTTTTTATACTTTGCTTCTTTTTGTCCATTTGAAAGATGAATGCAACGGGTTATTGGTAGTGTGCCAAAAATGAGTTGTGTCAGTCCCATCTGTATTACATTGAATAGACTAATAGTTGGATACTGTCAACGCAGTTGATTTAGTAAACTGTAAAGTACCTAAGTTACTAAACATAGTCCACAATTTTCAAGCAGTCTCTGAAGAACCCAGTTGAAATGGCTACTTTTGTGCATTTGAAGATTCTTCAGATTCATGTATTTATCTGTTAGTCAAGATTGGTTTTCTCCTTATGTTACCTTTAGCATCTTTTAATTCATTGTATTGAAGACAAAGCCTCGTGGTTGTCTCTGTAGCTCTTACTATAATTGTAATTTTACAGATGTTTTGTGATTATTCAGTTAATACTGACATCTCAATGGACTATATAATGCATGTAGGCAGAGCTTGTGTTTTTTGTTTGTTTGTTTTGGGGGTTTCCGGTTTTTGCACAGCATTTCATTCCCAGCAGCACCTAGCATTTATGAACTTTAAACGAAGAACTCTGGAGTGTAAAGAATTGTTTTAACTTGGTTAATTATCTTAAAAATGTTTTTCCTGACAGGGTGCAACCTCACTTGAAGAAATGTTTTGAAGGAATCGCAAAGGTAGAATTTACGGAAACTTTAGACATTACTCACATGAAGAGCAGCGAAGGAGAGGTTGTAGAACTCATAGAGATTATTTCAACAGCCAAAGCCAGAGGTCAAGTGGAGAAGTGGTTGGTTGAATTAGAGAGAGTTATGATTAACTCCATCCACAAGGTAGCTGATTATACTGATGATTTTTAGAAAAGGATGCTAGAATATGAATGTTATTAGAAATATTCTGTTGATAAATGTACTGTTATTTAAACAGAAATGGAGGCATGGAATTACCAATTCAAATGTGATAGATAACTTGAAGGCAAAGAGATGTTCTATGATAGTAATTTTGTAGTGACTCACTGGAAAAGTGGGACAAAATACCATCCATACTACAAAACACTTGGGTTTGAATAATGCATCTGCTCATTTCTTGTGGCCACATGCTAGTGCTTTCATCATTAATTAGATACACTTTGTTCTATGCAGTCTCTCTTTAGTCTTGCCTTGGAAGCACCTCTCTACATGATCACATCAATCTCCTCGACATGTATGAATCTTTTTTTCGGTGTATATATGAAATGCATACAAAATGTTAGAAAATAATGTATGCTTCCTACAATTAATAACAACTTCATATTTTCCACATTTCATGAAACATACTGTGAGCTCAATCATTTGTGATTACTTTTGTTGGTAGAGAATTTCAAGGCACACCAATAAATAAAGATTGAGCACTCAGTTTTTTTTTTTACTGTAGTGTGAGCTTAGCATTCAAGTTTTTAGTCAAGAATAAAAATCATGATGGAGCAAAGGAACAGAAGGGAGTATAACTAATTAATTAATTTTAAATTTTTATTTTTTATTTGTTACTATACTTTAAGTTTTAGGGTACATGTGCACAACGTGCAGGTTTGTTACATTTGTATACATGTGCCATGTTGGTGTGCTGCACCCATTAACTTGTCATTTAACATTAGGTATATCTCCTAATGCTATCCCTCCCCCCACCCCCCACCCCACAACAGGCCCCGGTGTGTGATGTTCCCCTTCCTGTGTCCATGTGTTCTCATTGTTCAATTCCCACCTATGAGTGAGAACATGCGGTGTTTGGTTTTTTGTCTTTGTGTTAGTTTGCTGAGAATGATGGTTTCCAGCTTCATCCATGTCCCTACAAAGGACATGAACTCATCCTTTTCTATGGCTGCATAGTATTCCATAGTGTATATGTGCCACATTTTCTTAATCCAGTCTATCACTGATGGACATTTGGGTTGGCTCCAAGTCTTTGCTATTGTGAATAGTGCTGCAATAAACATACATGTGCATATGTCTTTATAGCAGCATGATTTATAATCCTTTAGGTATAGACCCAGTAATGGGATGGCTGGGTCAAATGGTATTTCTAGTTCTAGATCCCTGAGGAATCGCCACACTGACTTTCACAATGGTTGAACTAGTTTACAGTCCCGCCAACAGTGTAAGTGTTCCTATTTCTCCACATCCTCTCCAGCACCTGTTGTTTCCTGACTTTTTAATGATCGCCATTCTAACTGGTGTGAGATGGTATCTCATTGTGGTTTTGATTTGCATTTCTCTGATGGCCAGTGATGATGAGCATTTTTTCATGTGTCTTTTGAAGAAGTTGAATCTCTGAATAGACCAATAACAGCCTCTGAAATTGAGGCAATAATTAATAGCTTACCAACCAAAAAAAGTCCAGGACCAGATGGATTCACAGCTGAATTCTACCAGAGGTACAAGGAGGAGCTGGTACCATTCCTTCTGAAACTATTCCAATCAATAGAAAAAGAGGGAATCTTCCCTAACTCATTTTATGAGGCCAGCATCATCCTGCTACCAAAGCCTGGCAGAGACACAGCAAAAAAAGAGAATTTTAGACCAATATCCCTGATGAACATCGATGCAAAAATCCTCAATAAAATACTGGCAAACCGAATCCAGCAGCACATCAAAAAGCTTATCCACCACAATCAAGTGGGCTTCATCCCTGGGATGCAAGGCTGGTTCGACACACACAAATAAATAAATGTAATCCAGCATATAAACAGAACCAACGACAAAAACCACATGATTATCTCAATAGATGCAGAAAAGGCCTTTGACAAAATTCAACAACACTTCATTCTAAAAACTCTCAATAAATTAGGTATTGATGGGATGTATATCATCCCATCAATAAGAGCTCTCTATGACAAACCCACAGCCAGTATCATACTGAATGGGCAAAAACTAGAAGCATTCCCTTTGAAAACTGGCACAAGACAGGGATGCCGTCTCTCACCACTCCTATTCAACATAGTGTTGGAAGTTCTGGCCAGGGCAATCAGGCATAAGGACATAAAGGGTATTCAAGTAGGAAAAGAGGAAGTCAAACTGTCTCTGCTGCAGATGACATGATTGTATATCTAGAAAACCCCACTGTCTCAGCCCAAAATCTCCTTAAGCTGATAAGCAACTTCAGAAAAGTCTCAGGATACAAAATCAATGTGCAAAAATCACAAGCATTCTTATACACCAACAACAGACAGAGAGCCAAATCATGAGTGAATTCCCATTCACAATTGCTTCAAAGAGAGTACAATACCTAGGAATCCAACTTAGAAGGGATGTGAAGGACCTCTTCAAGGAGAACTACAAACCACTGCTCAATGAAATAAAAGAGGATACAAACAAATGGAAGAACATTCCATGCTCATGGGTAGGAATAATCAATATCATGAAAATGGCCATACTGCCCAAGGTAATTTATAGATTCAATGCCATCCCCATCAAAGTACCAATGACTTTCTTCACAGAATTGGAAAAAACTACTTTAAAGTTCATATGGAACCAAAAAAGAGCCCACATTGCCAAGTCAATCCTAAGCCAAAAGAACAAAGCTGGAGGCATCAAGCTACCTGACTTCAAACTATACTACAAGGCTACAGTAACCAAAACAGCATGGCACTGTTACCAAAACAGAGATGTAGACCAATGTAACAGAACAGAGCCCTCAGAAATAATGCCACATATTTACAACTATCTGATCTTTGACAAACCTGACAAAAACAAGAAATTGGGAAAGGATTCCCTATTTAATAAATGGTGCTGGGAAAACTGGCTAGCCATATGTAGAAAGCTGAAACTGGATCCCTTCCTTACACCTTATACAAAAATTAATTCAAGATGGATTAAAGACTTAAATGTTAGACCTAAAACCATAAAAACCCTAGAAGAAAACCTAGGCAATACCATTCAGGACATAGGCATGGGCAAGGACTTCATGTCTAAAACACCAAAAGCAATGGCAACAAAAGCCAAAATTGACAAATGGGATCTCATTAAACTAAAGAGCTTCTGCACAGCAAAAGAAACTACCATCAGAGTGAACAGGCAACCTACAGAATGGGAGAAAATTTTCGCAACCTACTCATCTGACAAAGGCCTAATATCCAGAATCTACAATGAACTCAAACAAATTTACAAGAAAACAACAACCCCATCAACAAGTGGGGAAGAATATGAACAGACACTTCTCAAAAGAAGACATTTATGCAGCTAAATTTTTATTTTTTTAAATATCAACTTTTAGATTCAGGGGTACATGTGCAGGTTTGTTACATAGATATATCGTGTGATTCTGAGGTTTGGGGAGTGATTGATCCCATCACCCAGGTACTGAGCATAGTACCCAATAGTTAGTATATCAACCTTGACCCCTCTCTTCCTCCTCCTTGTAGTAGTCCCCAGTGTCTATTGTTGCCATTCCCATCTGTGACCATGAGTACCTAAGGTTTAGTTTCCACTTACTTGTAAGTGGGAACGTGTGGTATTTGATTTTCTGTTCCTGTGTTAATTCGCTTAGGATGATGGTCTCCAGCTGCATCCATGTTGCTGCAAAGAACATAATTTCATTATTTTTGTGGCTGCATAGTATTATATGGTGTATATTTATCACATTTTCTTAATCCAGGCCACCATTGATGGCACCTAGGTTGATTCCATGTCTTTGCTATTGTGAATACTGCTCCAGTGAACATATGAGTATATGTGTCTTTTTGGTAGAACAATTTATTTTCTTTTGGATATATACTCAGTAATGGGGTTGCTGGGTTGAACGGTAGTTCTGTTTTAAGTTCTTTGAGAGATCTCCAAACTGCTTTCCACAGCAGCTGAACTAACTTACAATCCCACCAATAGTGTATAAGCATTCCCTTTTCTCTGCAGCCTTATCAGCATTTTTTGTTTTTTGACTTTTTAGTAATAGCCATTCTGAGTGGGGTGAGATGATATCTCATTTTGGTACTGATTTATATTTTCTGATGGTTAGTGATGTGGAGCATTTTTCATATGTTTTTTGGTCACTAGTATGTCTTCTTTGGAGAAGTATCTATTCATGCCTGCTGCTCATTTTCTTTTCTTTTTTTGAGGCGGTGTCTCGCTCTGTCACCAGGCTGGAGTGCAGTGGTGCAATCTCATCTCACTGCAACCCCCATCTCCTGGATTCAAGCAATTCTTCTGTCTCAGCTCCTGAGTGGCTGGTACTACAGGCGTGCGCCACCACACCCAGCTAATTTTTGTATTTTTAGTAGAGACGTGGTTTCATCGTGTTGACCAGGATGGTCTCAATCTCTTGACCTCGTGATCCACCTGTCTTGACCTCCCAAAGTTCTGGGATTACAGGCGTGAGCCAGCGCACCTGGCCTGCTGCTCATTTTTTAATTGGGTTGTTTGTTTTTTGCTTGTTCAATTGTTTAAGTTCCTTATAGAATCTGGATATTAGACCTTGGTCAGATACATAGTTTGTGAATGTTTTCTCACAGTCTATAGGTTGTCTGTTTACTCTGTTGATAGTTTCTTTTGCTGTGCCAAAGCTCTTTAGTGTAATTAGTTTCCACTTGTCAATTTTTGTTTTTGTTGCAATTGCTTTTGAGAACTTAGTCATAAATACTTTCCCAAGACCAATGTCTAGAATGGTGTGTCCTAGGTTTTCTTCTAGGATTCTTATAGTTTGAAGTCTTACCTTTAAATATTAATCCATCTTGAGTTAATTTTTGTATATGATGAAAGTTGGGGGTAAAGTTTCATTCTTCTTCATATGGCTAGCCAGCTATTTAAGCACCGTTTATTGAATAGGGAGTCCTTTCTCCATTGCTTATTTTTGTTGACTTTGTCAAAGAGCAGATGGGTATAGGTGTGCACCTTTATTTCTGGGCTCCCTATTTTGTTCCATTATTCTGTGTGCCTGTTTTTGTACACATACCATGCTGTGTTGGATATGATAGCCTTATAATATACTTTGAAGTTGGCTAATGTAATGCTTCTGGCTTTGTTCTTTTTGCTTAGAATTTCTTTGGCTGTTCAGGCTCTTGTGGTTCCATGTGAATTTTAGAATGGTTTTTTCCAGTTCTGTGAAAAATGATGTTGGTAGCTTGATAGGAATAGTGTTGAATTTGTAGGTTGCTTTGGGCAGTATGACCATTTTAATGATACTGATTTTTCTAATCCATGAGCATGGAATATTTTTCTATTTGTTTGTGTCATCTGTGATTTCTTTCAGTAGTGTTTTGTAGTTCTCCTTGTAGAGATCTTTTACCTCTTTGGTTAGATGAATTCCTAGGTATTTTATTTTTGTCTGTGGCTGTTGTGAATGGGATTGCATTCTTGATTTGGCTCTCAGCTTGAACATTATTGGGGTATAGAAATGTTACCGATTTTTGTACATTGATTTTATATCCTGAAACTTTACTGAAGTCATTTATCAGCTCCAGGAGTCTTTTGGTGGGGTCTTTGAGGTTTTCTAGGTGTAGAATCATATTGCCAGTGAAGAGGGATTGTTTGACTTCTTCTTTTCCTATTTGGATACCTTTTATTTCTTTCTCTTGCCTGATCGCTCTGTCTAGGACTTCCAGTTAATTTATATTTAAATTAATGTGTCAGACTCTCCCACAAATGTGTTGGAAAAATTCACTGGAATCTAGATGTTCAATGTTACCATTGTTTCTTTCTCTTCTTAATGTTTCTGTTAAATATGGCTTTAATGCTTCCCTACACAATATTTTCCAGAAAATTTAAAATCTTTTGGATAGGTCTGATTTTCTCCCTATTATGAATTATATTATAATGAATGTACTTATGCATATATCTGGTTTCTTTGAATTTTAATTTTTGTGTGATAACGGCCCATGTCTGGGTTTACTGGGCCAAAGAAGATGAGTTTTCATAGGCCTTGATAAATATTGACAAATAGCATTACTGTTTTTGTAACCATTGGCAATATTAATATATTCCACTTTGGCCACTCTTTAGCAGCATTAAATTGGCTTATATGATTTGCTAATTTATGTAGTATAGAGTAATAAGTCATTATTTTATGTATATCTGATAATATTTAAACTACTCCTTTAATTTTGATTGTCAAAGTACTTGGAGAAAATATTTTGGTTGCCATTTCAAAGCATTAAGATAGGGTGGCAAGAAGTTGTATAGGATATGCAGGCATGAAAAAGAATGGAATCATGTCCTTTGTAGCAACATAGATGGAGCTGGAGTCCATAATCCTAAACAAATTAACACAGGAACAGAAAACCAAATACCATGTGTTCTCACTTATAAGTGGGAGCTAAACACTGAGCACACGTGGACATAAACATGGCAACAATAGACACTGTAGACCTCTAGATGGGGAGAGAAGAAAGGGGAGCATGAGTTTAAAAACTAACTATTGGGCACTATGCTCACTACCTTGGTGCAATATGCCCATGTAACAAACCTGCACATATACCCCCTGTATCTAAAATAAAAGTTGAAAAATACAAAAAATAAAGTTTAAAAAAAGTGATGTAGAAAATAAGTATCTTTTAAAAATCTTCCTGTATAAGTTTGTGTTGACAAAATATCCAAGCAAGTGCAGTATACAGTTCTACAAATAGGAGATATGTGTGTTACTGTGTTGTGCTATGTGTATTTGCATGCTTGAAAGGCTACTACATATATATGTTATTCTATATATATCATATATAATATGGTAAACATAGATATAATAATAGACTTTACATATAATATTGTGGAACTTTATATAATCATATTTCTCCTCATCTAACTATATAGAAATCCCTTTTTGTGATCCAGATTTGAATGTCTTTCTCTTGTTCTCCCCACAGTGTCCTTCTAGAGCACATTTTTACTCCATCTTCTTGGCATTTCTCTGCTACGCCTATTTTTTTAATTAATTAATTAATTTATTTATTTATTTATTTACTTGCTTCTCTCATCCCTCAGCTGTCCATTTTCACCTGTTCTTTCCGTGGCTTCTTCTGCTCTTAAAAATGTCTTTAATATCAACACCCAGCATTCTGCCCTTTATCATTGTTCCATTCTATAAATATCCCAGCAAGAGTAGAAATCCAGAGTGGTTTAACCATCCTGAGATATTTTTCAGAAAAATCTAAGAAATCTTTTCTGAAATTCAAACATTAAAGTACATACCACCTCACAGACATCACTATTTTTGGTTGATGCATGTAACAGACTAGTGTGTTTCCCACCGATGGCTGGTAGAAAAAGTAGATGTATCAGTCCACCGAACGTAGGTATTGAAGTACAAAATTAGACTTCCTGACTTTACAGCCCTCAACTCTCCATGAATGAATCGTACATCTGTCTCTGTCATCATTGCTTTGGGCTTCAAACTACAGGATTGAGAGGGAGTGAGGCCTGGAAACACAGGAGTAACTTGAGAAAGATTGTGTGATGCCCAAGTGTGCATGTGTACAGGCATATGGCTGAGTGGAGATCTGATTAAATTAAAAGAAAATAATCTATAAATTTGATGGATCTCATTTTGGAATTATTTGAATTTGTATTTTGCAGTAAAATTGCTCATGCTTGTTCAATCCAAATGTATCTAGGATGTCTTTGGCTAAAATTATTCAAATGAATATTTGATACCATGTGGTTCACACAAATTGATAGTACATCAGGAAAATAAAATGTTATGTAATATGTTTGCCTTGCTTATAGGTATGTGATTAAACTTGAATATAATTAGTTGTAATCACACGGTTTAAGTGAGTCTTGCATAAATGTCTAAGAATGTTGTAAAAAATTGAGCAGTATGAATTAATCTAGTTTAGTTTAGCTCTCAATTGTATAACTTGTTCAGGAAATGGTTAATATTTAGCATATTCTTTTTTGATTAGGTAACTGGAGATGCAACTTTTGCCTATACAAAATATGAACGAATTAACTGGGTAAGGGATTGGCCTGGACAGACTGTTCTCTGTGTATCCCAAATCTTTTGGACAAAAGAAGTACAAACAGCTATTCCAATGGGGATAAAGGTAAGGTTTTATTAACCCTCGGGTTTTTTTAAGCATTTTTTCAATAGTATTATTGCCAGAATACACTTATTTTAAAAACTAAAATAAATACAGTTCACTTAAAAATCTACTTTATGCTGCAAGCCAAATTACAGATTTTTTAAATAAAAATTGCACATAACAAATATGTAGGAAAAATTTATACCAATAATTTCAAAATTTATGTTTAAATCATGTTTATTCACGGTATATAAAAGTCAATGATACTTGAACCTCAATCTTGTTATTATATACATTTTATGCCTTTAAAAATAGAGTGATAATAGGACTAAGAAACTCATAAAGATTAGCAGGAAATAAAGTAACAGTATTCTCTTTTATACCTTGAGTAAAACTACCCTATATAGATAAGGCTCCAGTTGACTTATTGTGACTGTTTTTATTTCTAATGTATTGATTGTGAATACATAATAATTATGAATATTTAAATGATGCTTAGTATTAAATATGTAAACATTCTAATATAATTGGATATATTAATTTAATATTAATTAGATTGTAATTGTTAATGAAAAACTAAAATTACATTCATTGCAGCAGTTCTATCATTGAGATAGGATTTTAAGTGAGTCAGCTTTCAGTTGACTGAGGGGTCAACTGGAAACTAGCAAATATAGATCTGTAGTTTAAAATCATAATTGTTAAATATGTTTTTGACATGGAATTTGAAATGTCTTTAAGACATTGTTGAACAGGGGTTTGAAAATGATGCAAGTTCTCTGTAGACAGACAGATTCCAAAGAGTAAGGGACTGAGTGACACATGTTTAATTCACTCCAACTTACCAACAGGTCACCTACTTCTCCTCTACAAGAAGGAATAGGGTGTAAAACAGGAAGTCAAGGGTTTTCAGGAAAAGGTCTTTCTTCATGAAAAGCAGGGCACTGGGGCATAAGAGTATCCCTAATAGCAGTAAGCCCCTGAGTTTACTTTTGGGCCCTTGGGTGTTTCTCCCCATGTGTATTTTTCCTTTTTCCTCAGTGAGTCCAGAGAATTCATTTTGTCTTTCTACTTTTAAGCTACCACTCACCAACCACCACACTCAGAGGGATTTCTCCAAGGTGGCCCGCCAGGGGACGTGCAGCCTCCTGGGATCTCCCTGCTTGTGGTTGAACATGGGTGGGACAGAAGTTTATTTTTTGCTACTGAAGAAGAAAATTAATAGCAAATTAACCGTGTAAATAATAGAAATGAAATAGTGTTTAGGCACCAAACCTTTGAAAACTGATCTTTCTTAAAAAAAAAAATAAAAAAAGATGAAGTATTTCAGGAAACAAGAAAAGTGCCCCTTGGAGAAACAACTTGCAGTCCTCATCTCTGTCTTTTAAACTTTTTCTCATTCTTGGGAACCCTCACTTTTAGTTTCATTGCTGCCACTTAGCAATGGCTGTAACAGAGTGAAATAAACTCCGTGGTGTACAGTTTTATTAAATGTTTTTAAAGTAGAAAAAGCAGCCACTGGAGCATATTGATATGTCTCTTAAGCACAGTGTTTTTTGTTGACTATAATTTTATTTTTGTCTTTTTTAACTTACTCATTAGATTTACCTGCCAGAAAAGAGAAGCAAGCCTGGTCTTCAGAACTGGCATTAGCTTATTATAAACTAACATATTCAATGTTTTGTTTATTAGCATCTTTATATTTCAAGAAGCACAAACCCCTTTCAGAAAGCTTATGTGAGAGTTACTAGAGGGACTCATAGGATCTAAACAGGAACAGTCAGAATCAGGACCTCAGGGCTGCATGGTGCTGTGGCCTCTCTCTTGCTCTCTCTCTCTCTTTTTTTTTTTTTGTGATGGAGTCTCGCTCTGTCACCCAGGCTGGAGTGCAGTGGCGTGATCTTGGCTCACTGCAACCTCCACCTCCCAGTTTCAAGCTATTCTGCTGCCTCAGCCTCCCGAGTAGCTGGGATTACAGGCACATGCCACCACACCCAGCTAACTTTTTATATTTTTGGTAGAGACGGGGTTTCACCATGTTGGTCAGGCTGGTCTCAAAACTCCTGACCTCAAGTGATCTGCCCGCCTTGGCCTCCCAAAGTGCTGGGATTATAGGCCTCCACGCCCAGCCCTGGGCTGTCTTTTGTTGTTGCTTTCTATCTCTCTTGGCTCTGGTAGGCTTTATTCTGTAGAGCAGAAGACAGCTTGTAGTTACTTCAAGTTGGCATATCCACAGCCTACCAAGCCTAGTGAAGAGTACTTTTTCTCTCAATCTATATAGCAGTCCCCAGGAAGAACTGTGATTGGCTCTGGTTTAGTCACACATCCCCTCCATATTGCCATGGAGAGTGGGCAATATGATTGACAGCTCCAACAAAACCACAGAGAATAGAGAAGAAATAGAAAAGGAAAGGATAATGAGTAGACACAAATTACATATATCCATTATACGTGGCCTGATTGGTCTTGTTTACCTAGTATCTTTGTAGTCAGAAAAACAAATTATTTTTAAATTGTATTACATGGAAAGTTGTAATCAAAATGCAGAGAATAATCTGTATATATACTAGTTCAGAATGTTTTGTTCAAAATAATTTTGATCACATTGGGAAATCATATCTTATTTTCTTTTCTTTCAGGCTCTTGAGCAATACTTGAAAACATGTAACAGACAAATTGATGATATTGTCACTTTGGTGCGTGGCAAATTGTCCATGCAGAATCGCGTAACTCTGGGAGCACTTGTGGTACTGGATGTCCATGCTAGAGATGTCCTCTCATCACTTGTAAAAAAAAATATTAGCGATGACTCTGACTTTGAATGGTTAAGTCAGCTTAGGTACTACTGGCAAGTAAGTGGTATCACTGAATGTTATATTACACAGCAATTTCAGCTCGTAGTTTTAAATTTGTGCTTGCTTGCTCACATGGGAAATAGTAGCAGTAATCTGAGATCTTTTGCTGATGGCAGACTATACCCAAGTAAGCATTTCTTTATATTGAAGATTAAGCTGCTGATAACTATGTCATCTGTATTGATATCTGTATCCTTATCTATATTCAAAAGTATAGTTATATATAAACATATATCCATATATAGATACACGAAAATGATGAGTAATTATCAAAAATTACTCATTTTAAATGAGTTGCTAGGCTTGCTGAATCTGCAAAATGTTGGGACTAGTCAGTTTAAAATTGTGTTTTTAGGTTCTTGATGCATCTAAAGGATGTATGAATCAAACTCTTTCAGTCTGATTTAGTCATTAAAGTTTCCTCTCATTGCTGGGCATGGTGACTCACGCCTGTAATCCTGGCACTTTGGGAGGCCAAGGCAGGCAGATCACTTGAGGTCAGGAGTTCAAGACCAGCCTGGCCAACATGGTGAAACCCCATCTCTACTAAAAATACAAAAATTAGCTGGGCACATGGTGGGGCGTGCTTGTAGCCCCAGCTACTTGAGGACTGAGGTGGGAGAATTGCTTGAACCCCAGGAGGCAGAGGTTGCAGTGAGCCGAGATTGCGCCACTGCACTCCAGCCTGGGTGACAGAGTGAGACCCTGTCTCAGAAAAAAAAAAAAATTCCTCTAATTGATCAATTGAAGAAGCCAGAAACATGGTTTTTACCAGGGCATCCAGGTGGATGGTGATGGTAGTCATGATGGGGAATGCAAACAGGGCAGGAACAGTTAGTAAAGTGGGCAAGATAGGGCCTATTGGGCGTGGGCATAGACAGGTGCATAGTTTTCATCATATAGGCTTTTGTGGAAGTCTTGGGAGGTATGGGGTGGGAGGAGAGAAGAAGTGAGAACTAGCGTCCTGGGAAACAAATTGAGGGGCAGCGTATTTAGTACTGAGCTAGAAGCTCAGATGGCGGAATCATTTCAGATGCCAGATCCTCCCGTTACCAGATGTATAACCTTGGGGAAGTTACTTATTCTCTTTAAGCATCAATTTCCTCATCTGTTAAATGATGAGTAATATCCACTCTATTGTTAACACAAAATGATTAAAAATATGGAAGAGGTAAGGGACAAATACTAAAATATTTTATGGGAAAAATTAAAGCCAGTGACTTCAATTATTCATCGATGGAAACTAGATACTTAATTCTGCCATGGAATCAAATGACACCTGAAAAGTGAACTTTAAAGATGTCTATATTATGGTTATTACTTATTAAAGAGCTTGAGATTTCATATTATTTACAATTTTATTGTTTAACTTCATTTTATTTGATTTATCCTAGGAAAATCATTTAGAAACAAAAATGATCAATGCTGGTTTGCGATATGGATATGAATATCTGGGTAATTCCCCTAGGCTGGTTATTACACCACTCACGGATAGATGTTACAGGTAAACCCTTTAATTTAAGGATCTATTGGAAATAACTTTCACTCACCCCTGTACCACTGATTTATTTAAAAATACCAAATTGTCTCTCATACTGTTAATTTAGCCTGTGTTATTTTTTCCTAGACCCTTGATTTTCCTCTCAGGTTTGTCTTCGTTTTCTCTTTCTCTGCTGGCTTCCTCCTCTCAATACTAGGGCTCTAAGTATTAGTAGGTGTCACTTGTTGTTGACGCTGTCCATCCCTCCTTTCTTCCTGAAACTTTCTGACTTTTTCTTGGATCATTTGAGTCATTTTATTGTTCCCTTGAAACACTGAATTTTCTTTTTAAAATTGATATTTTTATTATTTCAATAGGTTTATGGGGAACAGGTGGTGTTTGGTTACATGGATAAGTTCTTTAGTGGTGATTTCTGAGATTTGGTGCACCCATCACCTGAGCAATGTCCACTGTACCCAATGTGTAGTCTTTTATCCTGCACCCACTCTCACCCTTCTCCTCAAGTCGCTAAAGTCCATTGTGCCATTCTTAGGCCTTTGTGTCCTCATAGCTTAGCTCTCACTTATAAGTGAGAACATATGATGTTTGGTTTTCCATTCCTGAGTTACTTCACTTAGAATAACAGTCTCCAACTCCATCCCGGTTGCTGTGAATGTTATCATTTCCTTCCTTTTTATGGCTGAGTAGTATTCCATGGTGTGTGTGTGTGTGTGTGTGTGTGTGTGTGTGTGTGTGTGTACACCACATTTTCTTTATCCACTCATTGACTGATGGGCATTTGGGCTGGTTCCATATTTTTGCAAGTGCAAATTGTGCTACTGTAAACATTTGTGTGCAAGTGTCTTTTCCATACAATAACTTCTTTTCCTCTGGGTACATACCCAGGAATGGGATTGCTTGATCAAATGGTAGATCTACTTTTAGTTCTTTAAGGAATCTCCACATTGTTTTCCATAGTGGTTGTATAGTTTACATTCCTACCAGTGATGTAAAAGTGTTCCCCTTTCACTACATCCACACTGACATCTATTTTTTTATTTTTAAATTATGACCATTCTTCAGGAATAAAGTGGTATCAAATTGTGGTTTTGATTTGCATTTCCCTGATCATTAGTGACACTGAGCATTTTTTCATATGTTTGTTGGCCATTTGCATATCTTCTTTTGATAATTGTCTATTCATGTCCATAACCCACTTTTTGTGGGATTAGTTATTTTTTTCTTGCAGATTTGAGTTCCTTGTAGATTCTGGATATTAGTTCTTTGTCAGATGCATAGTTTGCAAATATTTTCTCCCACTCTGTGGGTTGTCTGTTTACTCTGCTGATTATTTCTTTTGATGTGCAGAAGCTTTTTAGTTTAATTAAGTCCCATCTATTTATCTTTGTTTTTGTTGCATTTGCTTTTGGGTTCCTGGTCATGAACTCTTTGCCTAAGCCAATGTCTAGAAGGATTTTTCCAATGTTAGCTTATAGAATTTTTATGGTTTCAGGTCTTAGATTTAAGTCTTTGATCCATCTTGAGTTGATTTTTATATAAGGTGAGAGCTGAGGATCCAGTTTCATTCTTCTACATATGGCTTGCCAGTTATCCCAACACATTTGTTGAATAGCATGTCCTTTCCCCACTTTACGTTTTTGTTGGCTTTGTTGAAGATCAGTTGGCTGGAAGTATTTGGCTTTATTTCTGGGTTCTCTGTTTTGTTCCATTTGTCTGTGTGCCTATGTGCCTATTTTTATACTAGTACCATGCTGTTTTGGTAACTATAGCCTTATAGTGTAGTTTGAAGTTGGGTAATGTGATACCTCCAGATTTGTTCTTTTCACTTAGTTTTGCTTTGGCTAGGCAGGCTCTTTTTTGCTTCCATATGAATTTTAGGATTTTTTTTTCTAGTTCTGTGAAGTATGACCATGGCATTTTGATGTGGGAATTGTATTGAATCTGTAGATTGCTTTTGGCAGTATGGTCATTATCACAATATTGATCCATGAGAATGGGCTAGAAACACTGAGTTTTCAAGAGTTCTGTTTTCATGTAGTGATTTATCTCATGCCTTGTGGTTTTCTGAATGTTCTCATCCAGTCCCATGCTTTAATGGCCTACATCTTGAAGACCCCATATCTGTACCTCTGGCCAAGGTCTCTCCTATAAGCTTGCTATACACAAGCCTACTTGATACTTCCATTTGATATCTCATAGATACTTACATTTACATTTCTTCTAAAAGCAAATGTACCATTTTACCTCCCAAATTCACTCAGCCTCCCCTAGTCCCATCTCAGGAAATGACAGTGGCTATTTATCAACCCAGTCATCTCTATAAATACCTAGTTTTGTCCTCAATTCTTTCTCAGTTCTTCACATGTAGGCACACAGTAAGCCCTACTGATTTAATTGAATTAAATGTATTTATTTAATTCTCTTCCTTTAAAAAAGTAGACTTTTTGGCCTGGTGTGGTGGCTCATGCCTGTGATCCCAGCACTTTGGGAGGATGAGGTGGATGGATCATTTGAGCCCAGGAATTTGAGACCAGTCTGGCCAACATGGTGAAAACCTGTCTCTACTAAAAATATAAAAATTAGCTGGGTGGGGTGGTGTGCATCTGTAGTCCCAGCTACTCAGGAGGCTGAGGTAGAAGAATCACTTGAACCCAAGAGGTGGAGGCTGCAGTGAGCCGAGATTGTGCCACTGCACTCCAGCCTGGGTGACAGAGCAAGACTCTGTTTAAAAAAGAAAAAGACTTTTTAAAGAGTAATTTTAGATTTACAGAAAAATTATGCAGAAAGTAGAGAATTCCTAACCTCTCTCTATCCCACCCAGTTTCTTCCATTAACATCTTTTTTTTTTTTTTTTAAACAAAGTCTTGCTCTGTCTCCAGGCTGCGTGATCTCAGCTCACTGCAACCTCCGACTCCCTGGTTCAAGTGATTCTCCTGCCTCAGTCTCCCGAGTAGCTGGGATTACAGGCGTGCACCACCACACCCAGCTATTTTTTGTATTTTTTAGTAGAGACAGAGTTTCACCATGTTGGCCAGGATGGTCTTGATCTCCTGACCTCGTGATCTGCCAGCCTCGGGCTCCCAAAGTGCTGGGATTACACACTTGAACCACTGCGCCTGGCCCAAAATCTTTCATTAGTGTGGTACATTTGTTATAATTGATAAACCAATATTGATACATGCCTGTTAACTAAAGTCCACAATTTATACAATTTATATCAGGGTCTACTGCGTTGTAGAGTTCTGTGGGTTTTGACAAATGCATAATGTCATATATCCACTACTAAAGAATAATTTTACTGCCCTAAAAATGCCCCCTTGCTCCACATATAATTTCCTCCTCCTCTCCCGCAGAACCCCTGTCGACCACTGACCATTTTTGTCATGTATATATATTCCAAAGTGTCATATAGTATCTAGAATTATACATACTGTCTCTTTTCACTTAGCAATATGCATTTAAGTTTCCTCCATGTCTTTTTGCAGCTTGATAACACACTTTTATTGACAAATAATACTTTATTATATGGGTGTAACACAATTTATCCATTCACCTGTCGAAGGACATCTTGGTTGCTTCCAAGTTTCAGTGATTATAAATAAAGCTGCTGCAAATATTCTTGTGCAGGTTTTTGGGTGGACATCGTTTTAAACTCATTTGGGTAAATAACTAGGAGCATGATTGCTGGATCATGCACTAAGCCTATGTTTAGCTTTGTGAGAAACTGCTAGATTGTTTCCCAAAGTGGCTATACTTTGGAACTCCATTTGCATTGCCATCAGCAGTGAATGAGAGTTCCTATCTGGTGTTGTCAATGCTTTTGATTTTAGTCATTCTAATAGATGTGTAGTGGCATCTCATTTTGCTTTATTTTGCAATTCCCTAATGATATATGATGCTGAGCATCTTTTTATATGTTTATTTTTATATGGATACCTCTTTTGGTGAGGTGTTTGTTCAGATCTTTTGTCCATTTTGTAATTGGGTTGTTTATTTTTCTTTTGTTAAGTTTTAAGTGTTCTTTGTACATTTTGAATACAAGTCTTTTATCTGATACGTGTTTCTGCAAATATTTCCTTCCAGTATGTAGCTTGCGTTTGTATTGTCTAAATACTATCTTTTGACTGAGTGCAGTGGCTCACACCTATAATTCCAGCACTTTGGGAGGCCAAGGGAGGAGGATCACTTGACACCAAGAATTCAAGACCAGCCTGGGCAACATAGCAAAACTCCCATCTCTACAAAAAATGTAAAACAAACAAACAAAAAATGGTCAAGTATGGTGGTGCACACCTTTAGTCCTAGCTACATTGAAGGCTGAGGCAGGAGGATCACTTGAGTCCAGGAGTTGAGGCTGTAGTGAGCCATGATAAAGCCACCATGTTACTGGTGGCAAAGCCATGTAGGTCTGAAGCAACCTCAATTCCTTGCCTCCTCAGAAGAAAAGAATTTGACAGAAGGGCATAAGCCAGAAGGAGAGATTGAGGCAAGTTTTAGAACAGGAGTAAAAGTTTATTAAAAAGCTCTGAAGCAGAAACAAAAGGAAGGAAAGTACACTTGGAAGAGGGCCAAGTGGACAACTTGAAAGACAAGTGCACAGTTTGACCTTTTGACTTGACATGCTTCTGTGGTCTTGTGTTCTTTCTCCTGTGATTCTTTTCTTAGGGTGGGCTGTCCACCTGTGCAGTGGCCTGCCAGCACTTGGGAGGGGAGCATGTGCAGTGTGTTTACTGGAGTTGTACCCATGCTCACTTGAGGTGTGTTTCCCTTACCAGCTGAATGTCCCTAGGAGATCATATACCTGTCAAACTCCGCCATTTGACTCTCTCAGTGTGCATTTGTGAGCCCACTTGCCCAACTCCTGAGATCTTATCGGGAAGCTGCTGATCACCAGCTTCAGATATTTCTTTTTTTTTTTGAGATGGAATCTCACTTTGTCACCCAGACTGGAGTGCAGTGATGCAATCTTTTTTTTTTTTTTTTTTTTTTGAGGTGGAGTCTCACTCTGTTGCCCAGGCTGGAGTGCCGTGGCACAATCTCGGCTCACTGCAAGCTCTGCCTCCTGGGTTCACGCCATTCTCCTGACTCAGCCTCCCGAGTAGCTGGGACTACAGGCGCCCGCCACCACACCTGGCTAATTTTTTGTATTTTGTTTAGTAGAGACGGGGTTTCACCATGTTAGCTAGGATGGTCTCGATCTCCTGACCTCGTGATCCGCCCGCCTCCACCTCCCGAAGTGCTGGAATTACGGGCGTGAGCCACCACGCCCGGCTGACGCAATCTTGACTCACTGCAAACTCCGTCTCCAGGCTTCAAATGACTCTCCTGCCTCAGCCTCCCGAGTAGCAAGGACTACAGGCATGCACCACTATGCTCAGCTAATTTTTATATTTTTAGTAGAGATGGGGTTTCAGCATTTTAGCCAGGCTGGTCTCAAACTCCTGGCCCCAAGTGATCCACCCACCTCGGCCTCCCAAAGTGCTGGGATTACAGGTGTGGGCCACTGTGCCCAGCCAGGTGTTTCTGTTTATTGTGAGTCTGCCTTTCCCTGGAGCTGACTATGACCAACTATTATTTTAGAGAGACCGTTAACAACTGCCTGACCATCACCTGACGGTCGCCTGACATTCCTGGTGGGGCAGGGGTGGGGGGGTGGGAGGAGCCCTCTCCTGCCCTACTTATGTCTGACTGACTACCTACTGTAACAACCACACTCCAGCCAGGGTGACAGAGTGAGACCTTGTCTCAAAAAAAAGAAAAGAAATAGTGACTTTCACAGATAATTTTTACCTTTATGAGTCCAATTTTTCAAGTTTTCTTTCATGAATCATGCTTTTTGGCATCATATCTAAAAAGTCATCATCAAACCCAGCATCACCTAGATTTTCTTTGATGATGTCTTATAGAAGTTGTATAGTTTTAAGTTTTACATTTAAGTCTGTGATCCATTTTGAATTAATTTTGTGTCTAGATTCACTTTTTCCAGTTGTTTCACCACCATTTGTTGAAAAGACTGTCTGTTCTCCATAAAATTGCCCTTGCTCCTTTGTCAAAGATCTGATTTTATTTTAGAAATGTTTCTTAAATATGTGTTAGGAATTTGGAATCTACATTTTTCTTCCTTTCAGAGCACCTAAAGAGCTAAAGTAATGGAAAATAAACTATTAGTTTATAAGTGGCTGAGCAATTATCTGATCCTCAATTCAGAGCTCTCATGTATAATCTGGATTGAAGAATGTAGCCTAGCTTGAAGATGACTGATTATTTCCTGCTCCTTGAAGCTAAGCATGCATGCTTTCCATATGGCTGAAGAACTGAATCCAAGAGAAAAAATAGTGGATCTAATTCATCTAGTTGCAGATGGGGAATGAGAGCCACACGATGACTCCAACCACTACTTAAACAGGGTCCCATTTATGTCAGGATTTGACCTCCTAAGTACAATATGGATGGAGTGAGAAATTAGAAGTTTTGATATAAGTTTCCTTCATATGGCTGATATAGTCAATAAAAGAGGAAAGATAGAAAGATTCTGCTCAATACTCTTTTCTTCTCATTGGCTCTAATAGCACCATCCTATTAGCTACTTTAATATCTTCCCAATTTTTTAAGTTCTGATATAGTATATGAGGTGCAATATAATCTGTCTATTGGACTCAGTATTCCAGTAACACCAAACTCTTTCTTATGCATACCATTCTACTTCTTCACTCACTACCTGTGCACACAGTCTCTTGTTTCCCTGGCAAGTTCTCTCCCTTTCTTTTGTTCCTCAATAAATACAACTAACTCCTACTTAATCCTTTGGAACATCACCTTTTACAGGTAGCCTTTCTCTGACATTCCCTACATTACGAATCTCTCCTCAGTGATTCTCATCACACCATGTATCTTCTTCTGTCATAGCACTCATCATAATGGATTGAAAATATATTTGATATATCTGATATTCTTTATTGTAGTCTTTTCATGGACAAAGATTGTGCCCTATTTTTCTCTCTCTCCCCAGCACCAACTCGTTTCCTGGCATAACGCAGGCATTTAATAAAATGTATTGAATATCCACAAACTGAAAAGCAGTTTTAAATTATATTGTTTCCTAGAGAATGATTAGAATTGTAAATGTTTTGGCCAGGTATGGTGGCTTAAGCCTGGAATCCCAGCACTTTGGGAGACCAAGGCGGGTGGATCACCTGAGGTTAGGAGTTTGAGACCAGCCTAGCCAACATGGTGAAACCCTGTCTACTAAAAATACAAAAATTAGTGGGACATGGTGGTACATGCCTGTAATCCCAGCTATTTGGGAGGCTGAGACAGGAGAATCACTTGAGCTCAGGAGGCAGAGGTTGCAGTGGGCCAAGATTTTGCCACCGCACTCCAGCCTGGGTGACAGAGCAAGATTCTGTCTCAAAAAATAAATAAATAAGTAAATAAAATAAAATGATGTTTTTCAGATAGAGGATAGTGCTTAATGTGTGAGTCTTCCTCATTGGCCTGGTAGGACTATTATTTATGAAGCATCAAATGAATCAGGGCAAGTGGTTCAGAATTAAGGCCAAGAACAATGCAGTTGTACTGGAATCTTCTTTGATATCATGCCAATTGTATGGCACAGGGGCAGGCCCAATCACTTGAAGAACCTATACAGGATCTAACACTAGTGCAATTGCTTACAGCTGTACCTTGTACCCAGTGGAAGTCTTTATAGATTTTACAATATAGGAATCCCTTTACAGTTAACATTACATGTGTATATCTAGCAAGTAACTGTGAGAAAAAATAATTCTTAAATTTCACCTATCAATCCAAGAAGCAATTTTGATTAGCTACTATATACCACATACTTTAGTAGTGCTCTTGATAGAGAAAAGATATAGAGTTTCTGTATTTAAACATTTTTCAGTCAGATGGGAAAGTCAGTTTAAAAAACAATTACAATACAGTGTACTGAGTGAAATATTAGAGGTAAACATTAGGTGCTACAGATATATTAATCCAGAGGGGAATGGAAATTCATAGGGGAATGGAAATTCATGGGGGAATGCTTTGAGAAGGAAATGGTTAATAAAAGATCTGCGACTTGGCACGGTGGCTCGCGCCTGTAATCTCAGCACTTTGAGAGGCCAAGGCAGGCAGATCACGAGGTCAGGAGATTGAGACCAGCCTGGCCAACATGGTGAAACCCCGTTTCTACTAAAAATACAAAAACTTGCTGGGCATGGTGGTGGGCACCTGTAATCCCAGCTACTTGGGAGGCTGAGGCAGGAGAATCGCTTGAACCCGGGAGGCGGAGGGTTGCAGTGAGCCGAGATTGCGCCACTGCACTCCAGCCTGGACGACAGAGCGAGACTCCGTCTCAAAACAAAAAACCAAACAACAACAGCAACAAAAACATGTGGATGGAGATCTTATATTAGGAGATCTAATATTGAAGGATAAGGAGATTTAGCCAAATGAAAATGAAGAGGGGCTGGCTCTGTATTCTTTGACTGACTACCAAGTATAACACATTTATATTTAATGTGATTCATAAACTATTTGGACTTCTTTAAATCATCTTATTTTGTGCTTTATATTCTCCAAGTTTAACATTTTATTTTGTTTTGCTTTGTTTTTCTCATGTCCTATCTTTTATTAAGTGATTGAGTTTTCTTTATTCATTTATCTCATTTGATACGGATATAACGTGGGATATGATATGGGCTATGATATAGGATGCTGTTTCTATTCTCTTAAAGGTTATCTTACATTTAAAGAATGCCTATTTTGCTTAATAAAGCCTAAAGTTAATAAATATCTCTATTCCCTTTCTGAATAATAAAATGTCTTTAACTACTTTAACTCCAGGTTCCTATCTCTTATATTCCAAATACTAAATTAAACTTTGTTTTTAAATTTCTTTCCAGAAAATTAGTCATTTTAAGTAGTTTATTGAGTAAACCAGTTTTAGGATGCAAGCAGAAAGCAATTTTATTCTTTCTTATTACTGTTTTTTTTAAAGTTGCTCTATTAAATAAATATTTCTCATTCCTGAATGAAATCTAGGGTAGATTCCCTAGCTTTTCTGGTCACTCTAAAATATTAATTATAAGTGTCATTTTTTAAAATAATAAAAGTCCACTTACAGCTAATCAAAATTAATAATAGCTCCCATCCAATTTAAAGCTCCCTTCTCCCTCAACTCAAGCCTGACTCAGGCTGAGAGCCTGAATTTGGAAAATAGATGTGCTCAATTTTTAGCTATTTTTATCCCTGTCCTTGGTTTCATCCCTCAATAGCTTATCTTTTGCTTCCCCCAGTATTGGAGGTTGAAGGGGAGAAAACAGAAAGAAGTAGGTTTATATGTGACAAGTGTCTTGTGTGACAACTATCTCTTGGCTGTATAGTGATGTCTTGGTGATGGCACAAGCCCAGATGTGCCAGATCTTCCAAGGGATGTTTATGCGGGTTCCTTAAAGCCCTTCCAGTGACCGGATTCTCCCACCTGTGGAAAATGCCTTCTCGGGCTGGCCGCAGGTGGCTTTTGCTTCAGCCTCTGAGGCTCACCACACACAGACCCTCTTTTGGGGATTTTCTCCTGTTTCAGATGGGCCTTCTGCATAGGGTCCCATTCAGTGTGACTCAAATCTGGCTCTCGGGATCTGGACCTGGCCAGGTGATAGACATACATTTGTTTTGCCAGCAGTGGGAACACATCTCTCTGTTTCTTTTCTCCCATTCTGCCATCAGGAGAAGTTCCAGGCATCTTTTCAGCTTGAAATGTTTTCGGTTGTGAGTCAGCACTCAGTTTCTGTGCTCTAGAAAATCCAAGGGGCAGATGGTGTGTCGAGTTTTCTGAGCAGTCTCAAAGGCCCCTCTGTTAGCTTGGGAGAGGGAAAAGTGCTGCTCTTTCTTCCACCATACAGAGAGAGGTAAAAAACACAACACACCAATGATTCTTTCCAAAGAAGTCCTCACTCCTGATCACTCACTTACGGTCTTCTTATCTAACTTTTATATGCCCTGATGATAGCTAATGTTCCAAACCAACTTCACCATCTATAAGATAAGATGAGATGGTATTTATTGTTCTCAGCTTGGGGCTTTAGTCAAAATTCCAAGAAAGAACCCTATTAAATAGAGTGTTACATATTTTTTACTATTAATATACAGGTTTACCAAAAATTTTTATCATTTTCTTTACTCACCAGTGCTTCTTGCTTTGCCTTACTTTTGGTTTAATTTTCTTCCCCTTACTAGGCAATGTCTTCTAGTAATTGTTCCAGGGAGGCTCTGCAAGTAATGAGCTCTATCAGTCTTTGTCTAAAAATGCTTCTTTGTGTGTCTTTGCTCAGTTATTAAATGACAGAGTAGCTAGGTATAGAAGTGTAGATGAACAGTAGTTTTCCCTCAGCCCTTAAAACTCGTTATTCTCCTGGCATCCATGGCTACTGCTGGTAAGTCCCTGTTATTCTTATTCTTTTGTAGGTAATTTTCTTTTCTCTGTTATAGTTTTTAAGATTTCTCTTTATTGTTGATGTTCACTGTAAAGTTACTAGATGTAGATTAGTTTTTATTTATCCTATTTGGGCCTTTTTCCATTCATGTTTTTCTTGAATTCTGAAAAATTATCAGTCATTGCTGTTTAAATTTTGCTTCTTCCCCATTTTCTTCCTTCTATGTCTCTTAACTTTTCTTACATTCAGTCTCTGTATCTCTTTGAGTAATTTTCAGTGCATAATTTTCTGTTTCCTTATGTTTATTCTGCTATTTAACTTGTTCACTGAGTTTTTAAATTATATTTTTATTGCTAGAGTTTCAAATTGTCTCATTTATAAAATTGGCTTCTGTTTTTCTCTCACAATTTTTTGATGTCTATTGCTTTATATTTAAAATCTCATTTAACAGACCGCCAGGATACCATAGAGAGTAGGACGCCATTTATATAATAACACTCTTTGTCCATTGCTTTTGCCACAGCAAGGCTGACTCCTAACTCTGATCTCTCTCTCCTGTTTGAACTGTGAGCTGGTTTTAGTAGTGATTGTTTCCCCATGCAGTCTTGCATGTTGTCACCCGTGGAGGTGTCCATAAGGAGCAGTTTCATATTTATCTCTGAGGAAGACTCTAGAGTTTTTTTCTGGTTCAGAACAAAATGTTAATTTATCATTTTGGATTAATGTGCCCATGACTAGTAGAAATTTGGACCTCTTTTTCCCTGCACAAATGATACAAGCTTTTCATCAGGCCCCGCATGAAGGATAGGCTTCTTTGTCTCTTCCATAATTGACTCTTCTTTGTCTCTCTCCAGTAGGTTGCTGGAGTGATTTTAGTTTCCATTTAGAGACAAGACAGCCTTTCAAGACTTCTAGATTTATATAGGTGGATCCATTCCAGCTCCCCACATTGCTCACTTCTGAGGGTTTATTTTCTGTTTCTATCTGAGCATAAATATACTCATTTATTTATATACTGATCCCGAAACAATCTTTTAGTGTCTAATTCTCCGGCTTTGCATTCCCTCTTCGTTGGTAATTTTCTTTTCATTCTTTCAAAAATGGCCATGTATTTTAAATTATTATTTGTTTTCTTATCTGTAACATTTCCATATGCTTACAGTTGGCGAATTAGGGGATTCAAAGTCAACTGAATTCTTCATATTGGCCAGAAATCAACATTAAATTTCAAAAGTGAATTTGTTCTCAATGTGGCATATATATAGCTATTCAGAAATAAAATATAATAACAGACAAAGTAATGAACTATCAGAGATTTTCAGAGGTTACTGGGAAGGAAGAAATTATCAAAGAGGAAGCTGGAGGTTTGGTTCTCAATTTAACCTTTTTCTCTTCTTGGCATGTGAATGGAAAAAAAATCACATTATTCTACAAAGAATGTCTATTTCATATGTTTCAGAACCTTATTTGGAGCCCTTCATTTGCACCTTGGAGGAGCACCTGAGGGTCCAGCTGGCACTGGGAAGACTGAAACTACCAAGGATTTGGCAAAAGCTGTAGCCAAACAATGTGTTGTTTTCAACTGCTCTGATGGGTTGGATTATTTGGCTTTGGGAAAATTCTTTAAGGTTTGAATTAACTCCTCATTTCTTTACAACAGGATAACTGATCAGAGATGGTTATTTATGATGCAACATAATTGAATACAAGTAAAAGATTTACTGTAGCTTAAGTAAAAGTAAAAATTGAAGCACTATCTCAATAATTCTTAAAGGAAATAAGGTTATAGCAAAACCCTATTTGCAGAGAATCTCTACTTTCCTCTCCAGTCCCTACTGTAACAAGTCATTATTACTGGTTGGAATAAGTGGTGTCCCTTAAATACATTGGAGCAGATAAGAGTTTGAGAACGATTGCATCGTGTAAAGGTCGTGGGATTCTAAAGACATCTTTAACCTACAGATCTTGTTATTGAGAAGTTATTTTGAGTTAGTAATTTACTTTTATAGACATATTCTAATCAGTCATTTCAGTGAACTTGAAATCTTAAGTTTTATTATTTGTTTTTATTTTTAAAAATTTATTTTTATACATTATAGATGTACATATTTTCAGGTTACATGTGCTAATTTAATAATTCCTAAAGATCAAATCAGTGTATTACTTTTTTTAAATTCTAAGTTAGATTCTTGTCAGTCCATGAGCTTCAAAAGGTAGAATTAGAGATACCAAGTCCCTGCCTATAAACCTATAAACATCTGATTATTTTAGCAGCTTGTGTCTGTAGCCTGTTATTCCTTAAAATGTTAGGTGACACAACTGAACACAAAATGATCCACTTGAAATTATATATTTATTTATGTTTTTCTGTAATTTTTCAAAGCACATTTTATTTTATTTTTATTTCCAATTTTTATTTTAGGTTCCAGGGGTACAGGTGCAGGTTTGTTACATGGGTAGATTGTGTGTTGCGAGAGTTTATCTGGTGTACAGATAATTTTGTCACCCAGATAATCATCATAATAGCCAATAGGTAGTTTTTCAATCCTCACTCTTCTCCCACCCTCCACCCTCAAACAGGCCCCAGTGTCCATTGTTCTTTTCTTTGTGTCCGTGTACATGCAAAGCACATTTTAAAAATTCTAGAATGTTTACGTTTCCAAATTTTCTCCAGAAAAAGTTAACATTAAAAAAGATAAACAAACTAGCAAAATAGAATATACCAACCCTCACCCATGCAGTAAACTGTTCCTGGCTGGAATATGACTGATCTGGAGTTTAATTACTTTCCATTTGTGATACTGGAACAATTAGAATTAGAACTTTTAAAAGCTCAAAATTATAATTAATAAAATATGAAAACATTTAAATGACCAATTAACATTTTAATTCATTCTCTGTAATGATTTACAACCTTGTTGAAATGAGCAATATTCCCAATAGCAAAGATATGGAATCAACCTAAGTGTCCATCAGTGGAGAAATGGATAAAGAAAATGGGGTATATCTATACAATGAAATACTATTCAGCCATAAAAAAGAATGAAATCATGTCTTTTGCGGCAACATGGATGGAACTAGAGGTCATTATCTTAAATGAAACAAGCCAGGCACAGAAAGTCAAATATCCCATGTTCTCACTCATAAGTGGGCGCTAAGAAATCTGTACACATGGCTGTAGAGAGTAGAATGATAGAAATGGAAGGGCGCGAAGGTGGGAGAGGGGTGTGATGAGAGATTAGGGGCAATGTATGTTATGCAGGTGTTGGATACCATAAAATGGTATGGATACCAAAATGGTATGATACCAGTGTATGTTATTCAAGTAAGGGATACCAAATTGCATAGTGACTCAGTCACTATGCAGTCTATGCATGTAGCAAAATTGCACACATACTCCATAAATTTGTACAAATAAAAATATATAAATGAAAGAAAAAAATAACAAAACTAAAGAATTCTACATGCAGTTTGAATAGCCATCACATTATTAAATGTCTAAAGAAATGTCTGGTATATATTGCTCAGTTTTTGAATCTATGTAATGACCGTCTTCATTCTTTTATTTAGAGTCATAAACTTAATAGTATTAAATTTGCTTATTAGTATTTGTAAATAGCTTCTTTGTGTAGGCATTTAGCTGAATAATGGGGGTAGAAAATTAGACATGATTTTTATTATCAAGAATCTCAAAATGTATATAACTGCTTGAATATGACATCCAAAGCATTCTGTTCTCTGTGATCTGTCGCCATGCATTAGAGGTCAAAGTCATTTATAGGGTCTTCTCCAACTAATGAGAATGTACTATTCTTTGACATCCATAGAGTTCGTGTACAATCCAGTGTGGTTCGGAAGAATGAAATGTGTAAAAATCCAAGGTCAGCTGCTATAATCTGTGTGGCTTTGTGCTAATTATTTAACATCTCATATGGTATAGCCTTAGTGTCCTTGCATAAAATATGCATATGAAGTGCTGTGAGTCACGGTTGGCACATACAGTGTACTCGATATAACATATGCATGTGTGTGCTTGCATGCACACACACAATCTATAAAATGTATGTTCAGTACATATTTGTTGAATCATTTGATGTTTTTAAAAGTAGATCTGAATTCAGATGAAACTACTCATGCTTGATTTTCCAGTTTTTCCTTATGATCGAATGGCACATATCTGTGAGGTAGCTGTGGGTTAGGACCGCAAACTAGGGCCTTAAACTGTGGTAGTTGGCTATTAAGGTGCTCAAACCACAAGGCAGTCTCACTGGCAACAGAAGTCATCTTATTTGGATGGTTATTATAACCTATGCTATAAAATCCATGTGGAGTAAGCAAGTAAAATCAACTTGTAAATAAAAAGCAGGAAAGGCTTTGAGATTATAGGTGTATGTCTAAATGCTAAAAAAAAAATGCAGAAAGGAGAAAAATGTTAATTGGAAAATTTTCCAATTGATCAAACTCTTTTATTCGTGCAGAATAATGAATTGATAATGAAAAAATCAGCTGCCTTTAAAGATAAAGGCGAATAAGCAATTTCTTTGACAGGATATTAAATCCTTGAAAAGATCAGGTGAAAATACAACATTTCATTGCAACATTGAATCAGATAAAGTCAAAAATTTTCATTACTCTTTTCTCATAGGGACTGTTATCTTGTGGAGCCTGGGCTTGCTTTGATGAGTTTAACAGAATTGATTTGGAAGTACTCTCTGTGGTTGCTCAACAAATCCTTACTATCCAAAGAGGTAATGGACTAGTTTGTCTTTGCATTATGTGAAAATAAAAGAAATATGAGAGGTAGTGAATGGCACAGCTCATGTTTATATGTGGTATTACTAAGTCATTTCATTCCTGATTACCTACAGGTATTAATGCAGGTGCTGATATACTGATGTTTGAAGGAACTGAACTAAAACTTGACCCCACATGTGCTGTCTTTATAACAATGAACCCTGGGTATGCTGGGCGATCAGAACTGCCAGATAACCTGAAGGTATGGAAGGAGTTATTATATAATCTATTTCTTCTCTATAATTTACAAAGTTAATATATGAAAAGAGCTGGGCGTGGTGGCTAACGCCTATAATCCTAGCACTTTAGGAGGCTGAGGTGGTGGGAGGATCACTTGAACTCAGGTGTTTGAGACCAGCCTGGGCATAGTGAGACCTTGTCTCTTAAAAAAAAAAAAAAAAAAAAAAGAAAGAAAGAAAATATTTTAAAAGTGTGTGTGTGTGTGTGTGTTTCTGTGTGTATGTGAAAAGAAAGAATATGCTATCCTTGAGTTTATGTAAAATATTTTGTTTTAGCTATAATGTTTTAGAAAATTGTTTTAGAAAACAATTTTTAAAGCTTTGAGTATTTTTACAGAGTAAATATCCACACCAGGAACAATTCCCAAAATATTTATTTTTAAAATAGTGCTAATTTTGAAAAATTACAAAATATAGAAAAATGCTAAGGGTGTACCCATTCTACTGCTTACTGTAGATTGTGTCCCCCTACTTTTAAATGCCTTTTTACAATGCTGGAAACACACTATTGTGTATGCTTGGTGGGTTTTTTTCACGTTAATATTATATCATGAGCACGTTCCCATCTTTATAAGCATAATTCCAACTATTAATACATTTACTGAACTGTAGCTTACTTTTGGACATTCAGTGTGCTTTCAGTTTTCCTGCATTATAAATAATATCACAATGAGTAGTTTTTACTAAAGGCGTTTCTCTATTTTGAAATATTTCTTTAGATGGAGTCATGGGACTAAGATATTTATTGCTAAATTGTGCTCCAAGACAGGTTGAAATGATTTTCATCCCATATCAGTTCTCAATTTTCATTGACACCCAGCATTAATTTTTTAATGAAAAAGAACAAAACACTTTCTTGAATTGACCAGACTTTACTTTAAAAAAAAACACACCATTTTCTTTGATTATTAGTAAAATATGACATTTTCCCCATATTTTGGTTAACCATTTTATATCCTTTTCTGATGAATTGCATATGTATGGCACATATACAGACAGCAATGTTGAAGAATAATGCAATAGTAATTGTGGATCCAAAACCAAATCTCCTGACTAGATCCTATATTACTTCCACACTTCACATGCTTAGACTGACAGCTTCCCAGACTAAATGAGCAGTTTTTCTTTTCCACCAAAAAGACTTGATATGACTAATTGCTGCCAAGTGTTTTTGTATTTCCATTTCATGCCCCTTTATATGTTAAGTCTTATGTTTTAGGATTTTGCTTTAGTGAAGGAAGGCATGATTAACAAATGAAAAATGGTAAATCCTCTTCTATCTAAGAAACATTTTACAAGTTTTATTTGGCATTTTCTTTTGGAAAGCCTTTCTTGTTGTTGTTGCAGTTCTTGTATTTGTTCGCTATGTTATTCATTTATTTGGTAGGATCAATCTGAATATGTAAATTTGCAAAGGTAGGAAAAGCAAAAATCTGTGAGTAGCTTGTTATAGAAAGCTGGGAGCCATTATTGGTTGAGTTTGTTAATGCCCTCTGCAGACTTTTCCATGGTTTTATTTACTGTGCAGGTTGAAACAGTGCTAACATATTCACCTGGTAGTTCTTGGGGATAATGTATTTTCCTTCTACATGAGGCCAAAAGCTGTTCTCAATTCTCATAGCTTCTCCTATTGTGCAGCCTTCTTGGTTCAAGCTTCTACAGAGCATCTGTTTTCAGGTATATATGGAAATACCAATTACCTAACAAGTCTGAAATGAAAGAGTTACATATTCCTTAAAAAATAATAAAAGCCTGATGGGGCCCAGAAAGTATCATTACCAGTTTTCGGAATCATTCTCAAAAACTCCCTCTGTTTCACCTGGTGATTCAGTCAGTCACCAAGCCCAGGGTTTCCATTTCACACAACTCCTACAATCCCTGCTGTACTGACCTGGTCCCCCTGCCACACCTTGCTGCTCCCTGCCTTCTGTCTTCTCCCATATGTCTTATTGCAATAGTTCACTTGTCATCAATTTCTTCTCTATTGAAATTCATTATAATGAATTCCCCATCACAGTGCTACCAGTGTTATCTATCAAAAGAAATCTAATCATATAATCTTCAGCTTTAAAAAACTGCTGGGCTCCTTTTTGTCCATGGACTAAAGTTCACATTTCTTAGTACAATCTACAAGAGCCTTGGCATAAGGACTCAGTTGCATCTGTCCTGCCATTTCCCTGCCTCTGTCTGTTACACTGGGCCTCACTAGCCTCTGAAGGTCCCTTGCCTTTCTACATGCTATTTTCTCTCTCTCAAGTGCTCCTCTAAGCCTCCTCTTTCCTGTCTGACAAATTCATGGTCATCCTTTAAACTAGCAGTAAACGCTAAACATATGTACAGTTCAGATCTGACCTTCTGGGTGAAGTCCCTGGACTTGGCTGAGATTTATAGCTGAGTTCTGTCATGTGCATGTCCATGGGTTCTTCAGAGACTCTCCCATTAGGAGGAGTCTACTTGTAATTCCTGAGGCTTGAGTGATGGATTCTGTTTCTCCAGTTGTCATTGCCTTCTCTTTGCCTGGATCTCTGTGGTCAACTCCATGTAAACTTCACTGTTGGAGAGCTCTCACTCTGCCAGAAGGTATGTAGGGCAGCACTTATAGAGCTTCAGTGTGGCCCTTCTTTGTTGTGTACCGCTCATAAATCCTTTTCCCAATAAACCCTGGGTATTAATCCTGCTACCACAGGTCACTATCCTTTTTCAGACATGAGTCAGGCACCAGTCCATGTCTCCCGAAATGCAGGAGTATCTACCAAGCTCTCACAGAACTTGGGTGTAGTGAGGAGGGTTGTGGGGACTCAGAGCATAACGACAGCTCCCTTCAAAGGGAATATTTTCACAACTCCTTCCTCTCTCAAGTATTTTGTAATCTACAAGTAGACGAGAGGGTTCAAGGTTGTAGACATTTCCTTTGCAGATTTTGTATATTGAGAAGATCATACTTACTGTAGTAACTGATGTATCATATCATACAGAAAGAGTCCCATTTTGACATCCTGTTACATTTAGACAAAATCTGCATAATAAAGCAATTTATTAAATACATCTTCACTTTAGAGAAGCTATATTTTAGATTTAAACTATTCTGAAGAATCAGTAGTCAATGATCATTTTAGAATAGTTTGTTAGAAGCCACGGTAAAATAGACACATTCTAGATCTCCTAATGTCACAAAGCCAATAAAGTGATACATAGCTTTTCAGAGTATATGTAGGGTGAAACACTAATAGTATTGAGGGGAAAAAAACAAAGTAGATCCTAAATCCTCCATTTCATTCAACTAAAATCCAGCTTGTTCCTGAACAGATCAAAATATTTATAAAATCGATTTGCAGTTCCTTAAAAGTAAATGGTAAAAAGTTATTGCTTAATTTTTTTTTTATTGTACCAATATGTAGTCCTTTGAAAGCATGCTCCAGAAAGTATACACATTTCCTTATGTACCACCCCCCTTCCTCCACCAATAGAGCAGAAGCAGTAGAACAGCTATTCTTGATCATTTATTTTTGCTGAGATAAACATGAAGATTATGTTCACATGGATTACATGCACTGGAATTTACTCAAGTCTTGGCATGTTACCTGGCTCTGTACCCTCTTTGTTTTCACACTCAACAAACTATGTCACTGGTTAAGCTAGAATCCAATTTAATTTTTTTAACAAAGCACTAAATTATCTTCAAACTTACTGCTATTACCAACAAATTATTTCTGGTACATCCAAAATCGAACCACATTATAACATTATATCTGTATGCTGCACAACCTGTTTGAGAATCACTGGTTTAGGCTTAAAAAATATTTCAATCAGGATGTTTTTCATTGTGTTAAGTATCATTGTTCAATCGTTGGTGGAGGACTCCTAATAAATGGAATATCATGATACCCCTTGACACTTGTTTACCTCACTTTATTTTTTGTTCTACTAGTCAGAAATATGTCTGCTTCATCATTTTCCACAACCGTATTGCTAACAGTGCTAAGAGGTGAATAGGATATTTGTGAAGTAACTAGGGTGGTCAAAGGGAAACCTACAACACACAGTCCTGGATGTTGACCTCAAACTAGTAGGAATTTGTGCTATTGTAGAAAAACTTTACCACCCTAACCCCATTGACTGGCTGACTGATTTGTTAGTTCAGTCATTCTTTTATTCTTTAAAAAAGTAGTTGTTGAGAACCTACCCTTTAAAAGAGATACCAACTGTATAGCAATTCTCATGCTCTTTTTTCCCTGATGTGTGTAGTGGTTAGAACACTTGCTTAAGCTTTTTTATTTCAAGTTATTTGCTCAAATTATATTTTTTAAACATTTTATTCTTTCCATTCTTTAATGGTAACCTTATTGATAAAATAGCAGCACTATGGCCTCTAACTAGTAATTAACACAACACATTAGAAGGTTCTTACTTGATACAAATCTTCGAATTGTTCTCAACTTAGAAGAGTCATAACAGATCATTTAAACAAGATGTTCTTATTTTCTATCTACCTTGAGTTTTTGGTAATTCAACTAATTCCCAGAATGTACTTATGAACTATCTGACTATGATTGTCATTCACTAGAATAACTTCTTTTTCCCTTAGAATATTGCTGTCTTCCATATTTTGTACAAGAAAGCCATGTTTTAATACATGAGCTATTGAAGTGAGTCCTCATACATACTAATATTCTATACCTAAATTCTTATTTATTCTTTCAAAATATATTGTTTTCTATTTACTTACCATCAAAAACATCATATAACCTCAGTATTTTAAATATCATGAGAAAAAGTTATCTTTACAATTTGTAAAATTGATTTATCTCTAATAATAATTGTGTATTACTTATTTCCGGTTTTCTTTCCTTTATTATGCTTGTTGAAAGACTGACATTGTGACTTCAGATTCAAAAAAGTTAAAAATATCTCAAAATGGATAATTTGTCTAACACTAACATAATCTGGTAAACCTTAGATTATATAATTAAGTAGATCCCTGTAGAGCCTCGCTTGAAGCCAGGTCTCCCAACGTGGGGACACTCAGCAGCCCAGATGAGAAACCCAACTTTTGAACATCCTGGGAGAGTCTGAGGTTCTGTAACATGTTGCTTCCCATGAAGAATATAATGTAATTGAAATTGAACACTTAGACGAAAAAGAATTGATACAAAAAGCTAATGATATATTTATTATATACACAACAGGAAATTGATTTTTTAAGTTGCTTTTTATCTATATGATTTGAACATTAAAATTTATTTTATTTTATATTTTCAGAAGCCAGGAATTTGTCTGTTTATTTGTTTACTTTTTAAACTTCCAGGTCAATGATTTTTTTATTGAAGTATGATTGACAAACATAATACATATTTAAGGTGTACAATGTGATGTTTTGATATACATATACATCGTGTAACAATACCCCTAATCAAGCCAATCAACTTACCCACCACCTCACATATATACTTTTTCTGTTTTCTTTCTGTTGGTAACACTTAAGATCTACTCTCTTGGCAAATTTCAAGAATATAATACATTATTATTAATGGACTATGAACATTAAAATTTAATGCTATTGTAGAAAAGGTATAAAGTCATAACATTATGAAATAAAGAGCATGATTATCTTTACAATGGTCTTTTTATTTAATTCCCTAACCTCTTTATTTATATATTTTTGCCTTTTAAAATTATTCTTAATGACATACAATAATTGTATATATTTATTGAGTAGAGAGTGATAGTTTGATGCATGTAAACGATGTGTAATGATCAAATCAGGGTATAGTGTATCTATCACCTCAAATATTTATCATTTATTTGTGTTGGAAACATTCAAATTCTTCTCTTTTAGCTATTTAAAAATATAGAATAAATTATTTTTAACTATAGTCACCCCACAGTGCTACAGTACACTAGAATTTATTTCTTTTATGTACCTGAAATTTTGCATTTGTTAACCAGCCTCTCCCCATTGCCCCACCTCACCTTTCCCAGCCTCTAGTTACCACTATTTTACTCTCTACTTCTATGAGATAAACTTTTTTAGCCTCCACATATTAGTGAGAGCGTGTGGTATTTATCTTTCCATGCCTAGCTTATTTTATGATGATCCTTTTAAAAGTAACTTTCTACCTACCCATAGGCTCTCTTTCGGACAGTAGCAATGATGGTACCTGACTATGCCATGATTGCTGAAATAGTCCTATACTCCTGTGGGTTTGTCACTGCTCGACCACTGTCTGTAAAAATTGTGGCTACGTATCGCTTGTGTTCAGAGCAGCTGTCATCTCAACATCACTACGACTATGGAATGAGAGCCGTGAAGTCAGTTCTTACTGCTGCTGGGAATCTGAAGGTAGAGAACACAATATTTCTTACTTGTAAATTTCCTATTTGTAGATTTCCAGCCTAATGGGTCTTCAGAGAATTCCAATAACTTGTTGGTTTCCTTAATTGATTGAAAAAAATCAATTATTAAACCAAAAATGTATTATCTTGTACACATGAAAAAAATTTTATAATGATTTGTAAAACCTTACACGTGTAATTCTTAGTGATTTGAGTTCTGTTTCATTAACGGGGTACTACCAAGGAATAAAATTGCTTACTCCTGAGAAATGTTTTGAATGCTCTCAGTCTATATAAACATATAAACAAATATAGCATTAAATGAAATAAGTATAATAAATATACACAAAAGATTCTAAATATTGTCACTTATTATAATTACACAATTGCAGCCAACTGTGGACTAGCAGTAGTAGATTTGCAGTATGATGTTTACCTTCAAAATGGTCTAAATTATAACTGTAATATATGAAAGCCCAAATACTTTAAGCTTTGGTTGACTTTTCATTGAGAGTATATTGTAGAACCATGAAATATAACTGTACATTAGTTAGTTCTTTATGAAATCAGATAGGCTTACTTAATAGAAAAATGCAAAATGTGACCTTGGAGCTTGCAAAATTTTCACATTCATGATTTGTAGAAGATACAGATTTTAAATTATATCCTATGTGATTAAGAACAATAGGATGCATTTTTATCTTCCATAATAATGTTATCAAGAATTCTGATATATAGTGGTGATATTCTATTTCACATTAGCCTGACATAACTTCAGGTCATTGTTTGTTGCAATAAACAAAAGGGACTAGAGGCAACAATTTGTATTAAGTTGGCATGTCAGGATTAGATTGTGGTCAGATAATGGGAAGTATAATGCATTGTCCTAGTGTATGTCATCACTGAAATCTTGACTATGGAATTGAGCTATTAAAGTTATGCAGCAAATGAATCCTGCAAATGAATCCTATCATTCTTTTTCAAAGCTAATATAGAATTGTTGAATGTTCTGGCCTGAATATTTTGAAGCTTGTTTCTATTATAGCAAGAAACAATTTAAGCATTTGCTTTAAAATAACAGCCTCTCAAAGAACAAAAGAGACTTCTGACACTGCATAATTGATGTGCAGTTAGATTGATCCAAAAACAAAATCCAGATCAACAGGACATGCTCTGTCATTGGGGAACTCGAGTTTCAGAGACTGACTCTGACTGCTAGGCATCACACACTTTGTAAGGCTGAAGCTAATTAAGTGAGAATATGGCATTTATTAGGCAGAGAGATTCTAGAGAAAAGGGAGAGGGTTCTGGAAAATTATATGCATGGTGGTAGGAGAAGCTTTGGAGTGAGATGTTGAATAATGTATTAAAGTTGGAAGAAATAATTCTGAGTTTGGATTTTTGTAAATTCATGTGAACATTATTATAGGTATGAGTAACAAGTTAAGAGTTCAACCAGATTTGTAGTAAACTTTGGGTACACCACAAATATTTTGGAATCTAATGTGAGTTTTCTTAAACACACTTTATTAAACTAACTTAGTGCATGACCAGCCGTCTCCACTCTCTCTGTGGAACTTGCTAACATGTGGCGTTCTGGGCGTGCAGCCAGCAGCATCCCCTGCTCTGCCCTTCCACTTCGGCTTCTGTCAGATGAGCTGCATTCCTTACTCAGAGCCGGTTTGCTTGTTCTTGAACCTTTTTGAAGCCGCTTGGACACGTTACTGTTATTATGTCATCTAACTGCATGGTGCGAAAACTGATGATATATAAGCATAGAAAGAAGGAATTTTTTTCCTGTGAAAACTAAGTTCATGTTTAAGAAAGATTCAATAACGATGAAATGCTAAAATTTTGACTTTGAATAAGATGTTGATAAGAAGTGTGTATAAAACTGAAGAAAAACTTAAAAATTTATCAGAATGATACACTTAAATTATATTACAAGTATCTTTGAAGAGCACTGGCCTCTTTAAAAAACAAAAACAGAACACAACAAGATAGAATAGATGATGTGTTATTGATGCTTTTGGAAAAAAAAATTGTGCCTAACTGTATATGCAGAGAAAAGGCCTTGGCATCAAAATATGGGAAAATTAGTGAATGTTTATATGTTTTAAATTTAAATGCCTCTTTTCAAAATGATTGCCCACTTTTAATAATTTTCATTTGACCAGTCTACTGCTAGTCATGAATACATGCAGAGAACAAGCAAGCTCTACCCAATATAAGGGATGGCAGCTGCCAAACTATATTTAATTCATGTTAATACCTCTTTACTTAGCATATCTGTGAAAAGGTAGTTAGTTTAACCTGTATTTTTATTATAAACTAGTAAAAAAAAACACAACAAGTTTAAATGTCAGTTTCTAAAATTCATAACAATCCAATATAAAGAAAGAAGAGCTGCATTTGTTTAAACTGAGTTACAGGGTCTGTAGGTTTGTGTGTATGCGAACACGAAGCGGGTAGGTGCTGTTAGGAGATGCAGATATCCTCATGAGTTTTTTTTTTTTTTTTTAGCTGAAATATCCAAATGAAAATGAAGAAATTTTGCTGCTTAGATCTATCATTGATGTAAATCTGCCAAAATTTTTATCCCATGATTTACCACTCTTTGAGGTAAGAACATTCATTATCCCAATGCATCAAAACTCTTATAATAATGTATTTATCACATGTCTAAGGTTGTGAAGCTCCCACTATGGAAAACAATGACACAGTACAGAGAAACATAGATAATTCCATATTTTATTTGAAGTGTGTTTAGCTAGCTTTGTCACTTTGAGAACTTTCAACAACTTGGGATTTTAAAATAGTACTTTTAAGTTTGTTACTGCAGAAAATAATGGGCACATGAAAGTTACAAAATATTTGCTTATAAATTCCACTAGAATGCAGGCTCCGTAAAGAAAAATAATTGGTCTAACACACCACTGAATCCCTAGCACAGTATAGATATAGTAAATGCTTGTTCAACTAATGACTGAAGAAATAAAATAGATAAATATGCTTAATTTCCTTAAATGAGATGACTTTTATGAAATTGTTTTTTATGATAACATAAGAACTAAGCTTAATAATCTTATTATAATTTAAGATTATGAGTAATTGAGAGGAAGTATTAGAATAATGGTTAAAGTTTTCATAATATCCTTTGGTGTCATTCTTTTCCTCTTCTCCATACCAGGTAGAAGAACTCAGAGGGGTAGTGAGTGCCTCCTAAATGTTAGATGTTGGACTAACTTACGCTGTTTTGGAATTCAGGCAGTTAGCTTGCAGTGTGTTACATATTTCCAGATATAGGAATCTAGTTTCATTCTTCTGCATATAGTTATCCAGTTTTCCTAGCACTGAAGATATTGTTATGTCATGGGGAAGGGGAGAAGAGATGCTGTTGCTAGTATTGTCCAGTGTCATTAGCTACCGATGGCAGCCATGTCTCATCATTCTGAAAAGAGCTTTACTTAGTATTTAGAGTTGACATGCAAATATATTATGGAGCAAATCAACAAGGAAAGAGTTCAGATTTTCTCCTTAAAGTTTTCCCTCAATTTGTTTAGTACTGGTGCACTGTACAGATTTTCCAGGAGTAAAACCTATGTTTATTTTCAGAATATGGAAATATACCTCACTAGATGTATTGTCATGCAGTTGTATATTCATTCAGCAAACATTTATTAAGCAGTATTTCTCAAGTGGAGGTGAGGAGTGAAGTCCACTTGCTTCTACGCTGCCATTTTTGAACTAGAAGTCAGGACTCCAACTTTTTAACTTAAAAATAACATGAAACTAAATGTAAAACCTCAAGCTCTAACATTTCTAGCAGAAAACCTTTGTGACTTTGTGTTAGACAAAGATTACTTAAGTACAATACCAAAAAACACAATCCATAAAAGAATACATTGACAAAATTGAAAAAAAAAAACTACTCTTTGAAAGACACATAAGAAAATGAAAGACAAGATCAGGAAAAATATAAACATATGGCCTAAGCACAGGTAAAGAAGTTACTCATTGGAAAATACAAATCAAAACCGTAACAAAATATCACTGCACAGCATGGCTAAAATTTAAAAGATGGATCATACCTAATATTGGAACTTTTATACATGGCTAGAGGAACATGACTTAGTACAACCACTTTAGAAAACAGTTAAGCAGTTTCTTAAAATGTTCAACACCTATCCACCATATTCAGGTTATTCCATGTCTCAGTATTCACCCAAGGGAAATGAAAGCATTTGTTCATACAAATTCACACACAAATGTTTGTAGTCACTTTATTTGTAGTAGCCTAAAACTGGAACAGTGAAAATGCACATCAATAGGTGGATAGATTTAAAAACTGTAGCACTTTGTTACGGTGGAATATTACTCGGCAAAAAAAAAGAATAAACTATTGATACCTGCTGTGACATGTTTGAATCTCAAAATATTTATGCCATGTGAAGGAAGCCAGAGGGAAAAAGTAGTATGTATATGGTCTAATTTCATTTATATTAAAGTCTAGACAATGCAAATAAAAATAGTAACCAAAAACAGATCAGTGGCAATCTGGGGATGGAGGTAGGAGGCAGCAAGGAGAGGAGGGAAGGAGGATTACAAAAGGTTACAGGAAACTTTTTGAGAGTGATGGATATGTTAATTATCTTGGTTATTTTGACGGTTTTATTTATGAAATTTTATACTTTAAAATACTGCCACCTATAGTCCCAGCTACCCAGGAGGCTGACGTGGGGGATGGCTTGAGCCTGGGAGGCGGAGGCTGCAGTGAGCCATGATCGTGCCACTGCACTCCAGCCTGAGCAAGAGCCAGACCCTGTCTCAAACAAAACAAACCAAAACAAAAACTGTTTGCAAAACGAACATCATAAGGATCACAATTTAAAAATTGAAAAAAAGAAAAAAATACACGTTTGCGTATGTGAACTATTCCTCTATAAAGCTGTTAAAAATATTGTTGAACTATTATTATCTAATGGCCCTATTTCCATCAATACAAAATATTTGTATTTAATATAAATATATAAAATGTAAATCCTTCAAATCATCTATCATCAGGGAATTACTTCGGATTTGTTTCCTGGGGTAAAATTACCAAAACCAGATTACAATGATTTGCTGGCAGCTATCAAAGACAATTGTGCCTCCATGAATTTGCAAATGACTGCATTCTTTTCCGAGAAGATTCTTCAAGTATATGAAATGATGATTGTGCGTCATGGTTTTATGATTGTTGGAGAACCATTTGGAGGAAAAACTAGTGCATATCGTGTCTTAGCTGGAGCACTAAATGATATATGTGAAAAGGCAAGTATATTATTAATGCATTAATTTATTTATAATTGACTTTGTGCAAGGTAGAATGTACCATTATTTTAAAAGATGCATTCAATGTGGCAACTTAAAATCATGAGAAAAATGAGTCAAAGAGAAAATAAAGTTTTAGAAAAGTAAAATGAAGCAAATAGGAAGTTCAGCATATAAAGGGTATGCCACAAACTTGCTTTCGACCTTTTATTTCTTTTTTAAAAAAATTATTAAAGTAATACATGTCTCTTGTAGAAAAAAGTCTGAAAACAGAAAAATCTGAAGGTTTTCCTGCAATACTTTCAGAGGAGTCTTTTTTATTTTCTAGATAGATTTGTAATGCAAGCTTCTGTTATTGGCTGCTAGTGGTATTGAACTGAAATGTGTATATGTGCATATGTGCACACATATATAATGACACATTCAGAATTCTTATACACATCACATTTTGATTGACTTTGAAATGCTGAAGGAGTGGGGCTGTTTTAAATACTTCAACTAATATTGCATTTCTATTTACCTCTCCTTATAGATATTTCAAATAGTTTTCACTTTATAAATTTCAATGTTCATATCCTATATGAGGTTTGTGATGATTATATCTTTACTTGAAGAGTCTCCCTTTCAATCAATATGAAATTACTTACTTTTCTGTTATTTGTTGTGATCTACTTTGTCTAATTTCAATATTGCTACCCCTACTTTCTCCCTGTATGTATATTTGCCCATGTCATTAATTATATCCTTGGGTGTCACTGTGATTTACTTTCTATAGAGAATAAATAGCTTGACTTTTGTTTTCTACAGATCAGTGGTCTTTATCTTTTCAAAGATAAGTTTAAAGTCATTTGTATTTATTATACAAACTGATACGCTACTTATTCCTGCCATCTGTTTCTTCTGCTTTTACACTTCCATGCTGTTTTGTTTCTTTACTTCCCTTCTCTTTTTTCTTCCATTTTTTCACTTCTTAATTGTCTTCTGCATTCTTTATCTTATTTATGGCTCATTTGTATTTTTCCTGTTTTGTTATTTTATTGTCATAGGAACTGATCTTTTATATATATATACATATATAAAATAAAGTCTCCAAAAGAACCCAACAGGTCACTGCTCAAAGAGTAGAAGGAGATGAAGATATGAGCATGTATTCTGGTCCACTTGTAAAGTCTAAATGGCTCATTACCAGGGAATTCTAAGGGTGACATTGTGATTATGTCATAGGGCAGTCTTCCTTAGCCAACCAAGCTATCGCTTCACACTAGCCTTGCTGCATTTAGGATAAAAACTTTTCTTTGGTGACAGCAACTTTGTTCTGATTAAGAAGATAATAGAGATTTCCTATACTTCTTAATTTAGGAAGATACATTGTTATCGCCTTCCTGGCACACAAAAGAAAGCAAAGATATTGAGCTTGTTTTATTGTTTAAGATTACTATTCTGGGCTGGGCACGGTGGCTCACGCCTGTAATCCCAGCACTTTGGGAGGCTGAGGCGGGCGGATCACAAGGTCAGGAGACTGAGACCAACCTGGCTAACATGGTGAAACCCTGTCTCTACTAAAAATACAAAAATTAACCAGGCGTGGTGTCGGCTGCCTGTAGTCCCAGCTTCTAGGGAGGCTGAGGCAGGAGAATGTCGTGAACCCGGGAGGCAGAGCTTGCAGTGAGCCGAGATCGCACCACTGCACTCCAGCCTGGGTGACAGAGTGAGAAGATTACTATTCTGCCGGGAGTGGTGGCTCATTCCTGTAATCTTGGCCCTTTGAGAGGCCAAGGCAGGCGGATCACTTGAGCCCAGGAGTCCTAGACCAGCCTGGATAAAAGTAGAAACCCTGTTTCTACTTTAAAAAAAAACACAAAAAATTAGCTGGGCGTGGTGGCATGTGCCATGTGTAGTCCCAGCTACTCAGGAGGCTGAGGTGAGAGGACCACTTGAGCCCAGGAGGCTGCAGTGAGCCGAGATTGTGCCACTGCACTCCAGCCTGGGTGACAGAGTGAGAGCCTATCTCAAAAGAAAAAAGAAAAAAAAAGGTTAATATTCTCACTTTTTTTTTTTTTTTTCCAGTTTGGTAGTTTGTGTCCCAAGCTCGGGAGTGCCAGGCAGAAGGCAATATTAGAAAGAGTTGAACTTGTTATGTTTTTATATATAAAAAATAAATGATTGCCAATAGGTGGAGCACAGGATTTTTAGGGGAGTGAAAGTGTTCTGTATGGTACTATAATGGGGGATAATGATACTACACACTTGGCAAAACCCATATAATTATGCAACACAAAGAGTGAACCCTTAGTGTAAACTATAGACTTTAGTTAATAGTAATGCATTAATATGAATTCATCAGCCATAACAATGTACCACACCAATTCAAGATGTTAATAATAAGGAAAACTGTTGTGTCTTGGTAGTAGAGAGAGTATCTGGAATCTTCGTACTTTCTGCTCAATTTTTCTGTAAACCTTTTTTTAAAAAGCCAGTTAATTAAAAAAAAAAAAAAGATTATGTCCAAAGGGCATTAATATCTCTTATAATGCCATAGACCAGCTTTCAGGGTTTTGGGTAAAATTGACAATTTACCAACATTAACTTTTTCACTCCACAAGAAATAGACATTTCTGTATATTTAGATCTTTTAATTTTCTCTCAGAGGTTGTTTTGTAGCAGGGGTCAGCAAATTACAGTACATGGGCCAAATTCAGCCCCAAGCCTTTTTTCGTAATGCCAATAAACTTAGAATAGTGTTAACATTTTAAACATTTGTTAATTAAAAAAAGAAAACATAGAAGAATATGTGGCAGATGATATGAAACTTGCAAAGCCTATATAATATTTACCATCTTATCTTTTACAGAAGAATTTGCCAACCCATTTCTTAGTTTAAGATATGTAGATCTTGCACAACATTTGCTAATTTCTTCCTAAGTATTTTGTGAGCTTTTAAATACTATTGTGAATACTTTTTAAATTTTATTTTTCAATCGTTAATTAGCATTGCATATAGATAATATAATTGATTTTATATATTGACCTTGTATGCTGGGACCTTGTCAAATTCACTACTTCTAATACTTTCTTTGTAGATTCCTTAGGATTTTCTGTATGTGCAATAATGTTTTCTATGAATAAAGACAGTATTCTTTACATAAATAAATGTTTTTTTTTTTCATTAAGGGGCTAATGGAAGAAAACAAAGTTCAAATAACTGTTTTAAATCCTAAGTCTGTCACCATGGGCCAACTGTACGGACAGTTTGATTCAGTGTCCCATGAATGGTCTGATGGGGTCCTTGCTGTCAGTTTTAGAGCATTTGCCTCTTCAGTGGTAAGTTCTAACACTTTCACATGCATATCTTAAAAGGTTAAGATATTTATTTCTGACCAATTTCTGATTTTTTTTTCAAACAAACTAATTGTATCTATAGATTAAGATATTATTTAAAACACAGTACTGGATATTCTGGCAGTATTTCTGTGAAGAAAAATGTCAGCACCTACAAAAATGCCAGAGACCAAGCTCCTTTACCCTGGAGGAATACAGAAGAGAGGGTAGAAAAAAAAAAAGGCCAGGGCAAAGTATTTCTGGTTATTTTCTCCGAAGTGAGATGAACTAAAAATGAGAATATCTGAATGACATGATCCTTTTGCCTCTTCAGTAATGTTCTTCCTCCACCCACTCTGTGGGCTGCTGCTATTGTCATGCCTGCTAATTGTTAGATATACGCCAATGCTTAGAGAAGAAATTGCACACCTTTGCACAATGATGTCTTAAAGTTCCCACACTTTTCCTTTAGCATATTAGAAAGAGAATGACTGCCTTGTGGAAAGCAGAGGAGACAAGTGGCTTGCCAGCTGCTACTGGCTGTGAATGGAGAGTGGGCACTTAACCTACTCCTGGCTTATTCTGCTGCCCACTCCCATAAAAAGAATCCGCAGACCAATACATATTAACTTGGTTGCCATATTTTAGCAGGTTCTGCAGAGCATGTGATTATACGGGAGACAGCTTGCTAAAGCTGGTAGTATAGGAAAAGGGGCCTAGGCTCAGGACGTTTAAGTTGTTTATCAAATCATTCTTTTTATAAGTGTTTTCTTTCTTCTGACTACCATACATTCTAAACTTGATGCTGTCTACCCACTTAAGGACCTAGCAGAGCATGACTCATGAGTCAGGTAATAATGGATAAAACGTGAAATCTCAGCTCTGCTCTTATTGCTGGAAAGACCTTAGGCAATGAATGACATAAGGACTGACTCTCATGGGGCAGAGATCTTGCCCAAAGTCAAGTGTTACTAGTAATTTCAAGGATAAAAGAAATTGTGGGCACAAGTGAAGCAGACAGAGCTCTGGAACCCTTGATGTGGCTTCTTAGGTCCTATCTTGCCACAATGGAGGCACTCTGGCTCAGAATAAGAGATGAAGTCACTAGATAATATATACAGTTATATTATTTACACAGAAATAATCATGAGATACCTCTATTTTATACTTACAACTTACATTACATTTTTCAGGAAGCTATGTCCCACAAATACTGAGTCTCAGGGAGTTTAAGTAGTTCACCTGAAGTCCACAGCTCATAAGTAGTAGAGTCAAATGAAAAGTGAGGTCCTTGAGACTGTGAAGCCCAAGGTCTCGCCATTGCACGGTAGTGTTTCCCAAAGTGATGCATAACAGGCATGGGAAGCCCACAGCAGGAGAGGAAGCTGATCTCAAGATGATCACCGAGCTGTGGCTCTTCCTTGCTTCCTGAACACAGCTAGAAGTGGCCTCTGAGTGTGGGTGTGGGGTGGCTTGAGCCTGAGACAGACCCGTTATCTTATAGATTAATGCAGTTGGCTGCAGGGACTGAGAACGTGCTAATATGGATTCAAATCCTTCACCACTTCAACTTGAAATCATATTTGCTGAAGGAAAAGCAAGGAATCATTGGTGTATACAAAAAAGGTTGAATTATAAGGATCTGAAAAGGAGAATCAGTCTCTGTACACTCTGGCTAATACCTGGCTACTGTTTCATATCTGTTGAGCATTTACTATATTCTGGACAATGTATAAATATTTTCATATTTATTATATCATTGTGGGACTGTGAATGTTATATTGGTTGTAATTTTCTATACCATCAGGAAAGAGTTCAGCCCAAGTGGGTGTGTATACGTGTATGTATGTGTGTGAATTCATTCAGTGAAGGGGATAAGAAATTTGCTTTAGCACACAATGGTAATTAATTTGCATAAACATGGTACTATATAGAGTCAGATAATCTGAATAATTTTGTTTTTCCTAGAAAGTAGATATTTTTTACTTATATTACTTTCTAAAACATGTTAATATATTTGAATTCAGAAACATTGATCAAGGGCCAGGTGCAGTGGCTCATGCCTATAAATCCCAGCACTTTGTGGGGGCAAGGCAGGTGGATCTTGAGCTCAGGAGTTCAAGACCAGCCTGGGCAACATAGTGAAACCCCATCTCTACCACAAGAAATAAAAAATTTAGCTGGGTGTGGTGGTGCGCACTCGTGGTCCTAGCTAGTTGGGAGCTGAGGCAGGAGGATTGCTTGAACCTGGGAGTCAAAGACTGCAGTGAGCCATGATCACCCCACTCTGCCCTCCAGCCTGGACAACAGAGTGAGACCCTGAAAAAAAAAGAAAAGAAAGAAAAAGAAAGAAAGGAAGGATGGATGGAAGGAAGGGAGGGAGGGAGGGAGGAAAGAAAGGAAGGAAGGAAGCAAGAGAGAAAGAATCTTAAGAAAAGATGACATATGTCTGTCTTGTCCATGGCATATATAGTATAGGCTTCTTTAGTGATACATATTATATACATCTGTGCACACACACACATAGTAATCTTTATTCAAAAAGTGCTTTTACGTTTTCATGATGAAATTAATCCTAGTACTTATATTTTAAAATTTTGAAATAATATTATTGAACTGTTTCTTTATATTATCATCATTACGTTTTTGCCCTCTGTTCACATATGCATGAAACAGACTCCAGATAGGAAATGGTTAATTTTTGATGGCCCAGTAGATGCAGTGTGGATTGAGAATATGAACACTGTGCTGGATGACAACAAGAAGCTATGTCTGATGAGTGGGGAGATTATTCAGATGTCACCACAAATGAATCTAATTTTTGAGCCAATGGATTTAGAAGTTGCTTCCCCTGCCACTGTAAGTTCTCCATTTTGACATCTTTTTATAAATTATAAAATGTTATAAATGCATGTATTTGCTTAGTACCTTTGACTTTAAACAAAAAATATTAGCAGAATTTCTTTTAAGAGCGATCTGTGATTCTCAAAGTACAGACGTTATCTGTTGACATATCTTGACTAATTTAGTGGTCAGGATGTTTTTCTCTTGGTTTAGGACTATTTGGTAAAGTCAGACACAAAAATCGACATCATGAAATTATATAATATTAAGCTTCCCCCCGCCCAAGACTTTGCTGAAGGTTATAAAAAAACAGAGGTGCCAAATCATATTTATTTTATAAGCATTATTACCTTGATGGTAACCAATTATGGCTTTCCAGGTTTCCAGATGTGGCATGATTTACATGGAGCCTCACATGTTAGGCTGGAGACCACTGATGTTGTCCTGGGTGAATCTGTTACCTGCGTCAGTCAGTGTTATTCAAAAGGAATTCATAATGGGCTTATTTGACAGAATGGTCCCTGTTTCGGTTGAATTTATTAGAAAGCATACAAAGGTAAGGGAAATGAGAATTTTAAGATTAAAAAATAAATGGAAAACTCAAATTAGACTTACATATCAATTTTAATGTCTGTTTTTATTATCAGCTAAGAGATATTAAATCAAAACCTTTTTGATTAAATTAAAAATTTAGATTAGAATTCATGCAGTTCACTAAAAATATTTCAAATGAGGTATATTGGTGCTACTCTTTTCTCTCTAAAAAAAAGAGAACTCAAAGGCCCGCATAACCATGTCAAAATGTTATTTCTTTCTTCTGATGGGCTATTGCATTTTAAATAATTTCCATTATTACAATATTATTTATTATCCAAAGTTCCTAAAATAAGCCAGTCAGTCCATGGTAGAAGGACTGGAAAGAGGTCCCAAAGTAGGCAAATTCATTTTTCTTTCTTTCAGTACACACTGGGGAGGGGAAGAGGAGGGAGGGGGATGGTGGGAGGGAGGAAAATGACAAGGAAATGGGAATCTCCTGCCTCTGAGAGTTGATGAGCTTCAGCGAGGCTCTTAAACTCTCTCTAGCTGGAAATTACAGAGCAAGAATGTTTAATTTCTGCTTTGGGAGATGCTGACCAAAGGTCTTTTAGAATGACTTTGGCCCTGGAGCAAATGTAGGGAAATAGGGTTGATAGTTCTCTTGATGTTGAAGATATAACAAAAAATCTTGAGGCAGAAGTTTAGCTCAAGGTACAGATTTGGAAAATGGACTTTAAAACCATGTTAATGTAGATTACCTAAAGAAAAAATCCAGAGAAAAAAAGAAGAGAGCAAGAGATAGACTCACAGGTACATGAGTGACTTAGACAAGAGAGAGGAAAGAGGGAAGAACATCTGAAGGAAGTGATGTGTCTTCCACCCTGCTCTTTCAAGAAGTTTGGCTGTAACTGAAATATGTTGTAGATACGAAGTAATCATGTTTCAAAAACAGTTAACATATATGAACTGAAGTCATAATAAAATAAGTTTCAGGGCCTTTATGGGGTTTTTTTTCCAGCATTGTCAGAGAATTTAGATAATACAAATAATAAACGAATTTTCTATGTAACTGAAACATCCTTTCTATAGGAAAGCATGACACTTATAATGCAAGCTTTTTAAAATGTGCTGTGCACTTCTGTTATTTCTTGAAGAAATTAGGAATGCCTGTTATTTACTATGTAGTAATAAGTATCTGTTTTATTTGTAATGATAACTATTTGTATTTTAGTGTTGCATCAGTAATACTTAGTCCCACACTTAGAAACTCAGCTGTCATTTCTGATGTTTCTACTGGGGTGGCAACTGAACATGAAGTCACCTGCCTCTAATCTTCAGGGAGTCTGTCTCAGAGAGTTAATTTTTACTTGTTAATCACCAAACAATGTGACTTGGCAATTGGAAGAGAGCTGCGTGGGGAGAAGACAAACGCCTATGAGAACTTGCTATATGCTACATAGTTCTAGGAGCATTACACGTTATTTCATTTATTTTATAAACTATCATGGTGACAAGCAAAAGAGTAAAGTGCACGACAAGTTCAGCACTCCAGCAAGGCTTTTGAGGGCTCCAAGACTTGGAATTGTATTTCATAGTGATGAGTTTACCATGAGTATTGCTGTGGCTTATACATATGCTCTAAAATGGATTTTACTAATTAAGCATTTTAGATATAGAAATTAACTGCCGTCTCTGAAATTTTTTTAGTGTTTTTATTTATAAAATTAGTATACCATGGAATCCATATCTTAAATTAACTGCACACGTAACAGCAATTTTTTAAAACTTGAGAATCGATGCGAAAGGTTAAAGAGTACACACTACCTAAATGTAACATCCAGTTCTCCCAAGTGAATTGTAATAATAGTACCTACTCGTAGGTAGTATGAATTTAAAATTATTACTACCTGTTAAAATTAAATGAGCTTAATAAATATTAGCTGGGGCTATTTTAGCTATTACCTAATTTAAATTGTTTAGTCATTTTTCTTACTGACTTTTCAGGAATTATCTCCTACTTCCGATACAAACTTGGTCCGGTCCTTAATGAATCTAATAGACTGTTTTATGGATGATTTTGCTGATGAAGTCAAACTAAAGGAGAGAAATGATCGAGAAACTTACTCTTTGCTTGAGGTAAGGTCCGTTGCCTTCTGTATCCTGCTACAGAAAGACAGGTATCTACTGCTTTCCCCAAAGCTTCCTAATTTGTGAAACTCATTTTGCCCCTGAAGTTGGAGACTAGTCAACGGGTGGTAGCTGAAGAATGAGCAAAGAGCCAGGCCCCAAATTCTGAGTGCTGGTGGGGAAGCTTCTTGCCTGGGAGTCATGATGCATCATGAGGTTCGGGCGGAGCCCAGTGATCACATCAGATCTGCTACTGAAATCTCAGGTCTTTTGACCAGCCTTAGACATGATCCATTCCCAAAATGTCAGTGACCATTTTGGCAATGAGATTTACCTCCTTTCCAAACTATAATAATTTATTGCTTTATTTCCCTTGATTTTTCTTCCTTTTTTCATGAGATATAAATTATTTGTATGTGTGTGTGTGTATAAATAGATATTTGGATTAAGGAAAGCAAGAAAATATGTAGGTAATAAATAAACCAATTTTTAAAATGGGAATAAAAATATCAGTAGACTTTGGATTTTTTAATGAAAATATTACTGCATTACTCGTGGTAGCACTTCTACTGTGGTCAATATGGTACTTGCTTAACTTATATGTTTTAAAAGAAATTAATTTTTAATTTAGTGTTAAATGGTTTCTGGAGAGAAAGTCTGTGAGTAAACTAGGAGTAGGTGAATAGGGTTGAAGTAGAGTCCAGAACTTTTATGAGCATAGTCCAGAATCTCTTGGCTTTGTACTTAATAAAAGACCTTGTTTTAAACAAGCAAACAGGCTTCCTACCTTATTGGTAGGTCTTGTCTTCTACTCTGTTTCCTCTTTTTGAGTCTGGAAAGAAGAAAGCTAGTATCTTTTGCTTGCAGAATTGCAATTCTAGTTTACACACTTAATGCTCAGATATTACAAATAAAATCATTTAAATTTGTTCTTAAAGTAAACCCACCATATCAAAATTTAAATAGAAAATGGATATGTAGGTTATTTGCCTTATTAAAGTGTGCCTTAATACCTTAATAATTTATTTCTATGTTCCTTTTAATATCAAGCTGCTGTCATGTGTTGAAAATGTGAGATTTACTAGATTAATCATTCTGAAGTTTCACTATGGCCAGAATGTATACTTTGTTTTGTATCATCTTCTCTAAGATTTTATAAGCATGCGATTTGATTTTTAAAAACCCTTATGATTACAAAATCCTGAGATGACCTACTAATATATTTGAGCTTACGTGTTTCCTTTCAGAGATACTAATCTGGCTGATCTGATATGTAAGCTTCAAGGACAGATTAAAATTATTCTTTAATTGTTCTTAATCTTCTCATCTGTCCAATGCAGGGCATTTTTCTGTTTTCATTGATCTGGTCCGTTGGTGCTTCTTGTACAGATGATGATCGATTGAAATTTAATAAGATTCTTCGAGAACTAATGGAAAGTCCAATTTCAGATCGAACTCGAAATACGTTTAAATTACAGAGTGGTACTGAGCAAACATCCTCAAAGGCACTAACTGTCCCATTTCCTGAAAAAGGAACAATTTATGATTATCAATTTGTCACTGAGGTAAGAGTTCTGAAGCAAGATTTGCAGCTGCCAGCCTGGCAGAGTCCCCTCTCTGACACATAGCATATAATGGCCCTGTGGCCACCTTCATCATCACTATTTACCATAAGAGACAGCATAGAATAGAGGAAGATGCACTGGCTTGAAGTCAGACACCTCTAGGTTTGAGTCCTAGTAAAGTCACTTTCTTTCTGTATAGCCATGGACTAGTTGATTTCTCTGAACATAGTTCTTTCCAATGATACTATGAGATAATAATATCTAATGGACCAGTTGCACTCATTAAATAGAATCACACCAGGCACATACTGTTTAAGGACAGCTGTTAGAAGTTCATGGTGCATGTTAGTATACTAGGCACTAAGAAGTCCTGTAGGAATCCAGCTGGTATAATCTTAATTCAGTGCTTCCCAAACGGATTTGAAACTAAAACTTGGGTGGTAGTGGTTTTTGTATAACAACTCCCACCCACAAGTATTGTACTGAGGACCAAGTTTAGGAATATATGTTATTTAAATATATACAGATTTAAGTACAATTGGGATCATACCACATTCCCAATGGGCAGCTTTATATCCTTCTTGTTTTCTTAATGAGAACAGCTTTCCCTTTCACTAATGTTTCTTCAGTAAACATGCTTTCTAAAGTCAATTTCCTACCCTTGGACATTGGACTGTTTTTGTTGTTTTTAGATTCTCACTTTTATAAGTACTACTTTGGTAAATATTCTTAGATACAAGTCATTGGGTACATATCTGATTATATCCTTAAGATAAATTTCTAGAAAAGGCATTACTGTATTGCTTTTTGGATTTTTATGGTTCTTGCAATGTATTGCTATGTCACCCCAAAAGGCGCGACTGTGCCCAACACAGATATTTTTACTTTATTTAATTTCAAATTGCTGATAATACCCTGCATTTTCAGGGTAGTTTACAGTTTATTAAGCTTTCTGCAATTATTTCCATTTCATTTTTCAACACCTTGGTGAAGTGGGAAGGATAAGATTATTTTGCAAGTTTTGCCATTGAGGAAATGGGGCTCGGAGATTTAATGTGATTGTCCCAGCATCACACAACCTCTAAATAACAGTACATTTCAGCGTTTCTGATTCTTTTTTTTTGGGGGGGGGGAGCGGGGACTGAGTCTCGCTGTGTTGTCCAGGTTGGAGTGCAGTGGCACGATCTCGGCTCACTGCAAGCTCCGCCTCCCAGGTTCACGCCATTCTCCTGCCTCAGCCTCTCCGAGTAGCTGGGACTACAGGCACCCGCCACCATGCCCAGCTAATTTTTTGTATTTTTAGTAGAGACGGGGTTTCACCGTGTTAGCCAGGATGGTCTCAATCTCCTGACCTTGTGATCGGCCCACTTCGGCCTCCCAAAGTGCTGGGATTACAGGCGTGAGCCACCGTGCCCGGCCAGGTTTTCTGATTCTTAATGGTTCCTTTCCTATACAGTATCAAAAGACACATGTTTGAAAAGATTATCAAGAATTTGGGAAAGGCATTATTTTCTTCGTTGGTTCTAGAAATATTTCTTTATAATACAATTTTCAGAGTGATGTGAATTTAACACCCCGAAAAAAAAATTCTCTGCTGTACGCACAGCCTTGTACCTGAAGATACAAGAATGAATAAAGCACAGTGCTAGCCTCAGTGAGTTCATAACCTCTTCAGATGACAGTCATGTGCCGTTCTGGCCCAAGGAGTGCCATGCATCAAAGCTCGGGCCCAGGGAAGCGGGGTGGGGGGACCAGCATGTGCATCAGTGAGGCCTGGTTGTGAAGGAAGGATGGGTCCGAATTCTGATGTACTTTGAATGACCAAGAATTTAGATTTTATTCTGCAAGAAGGGTGGTGGTGTTTTTCTAAGAAGACAGAGTTATCATGATGTTGTTGAATGTTTTTGTTATAAACACTGTCATAGCAAATTAAAATTTTAGTTCTCAAGCTAATTGGATGCAAAGATATGGCACAATGTTAACTCATAATAATAATCTCATATTAAGAAATCTTGCCTGTTCTAGAGATCTGTTACACAGCAATGTGAACGTAGTTAACACTACTGAACTGTACACCTAAAAATTGTTAAGGGTAAATTTTATATATTTTTTTCTATACATTTTTTAAAAAGAAATTTTGCCTGCAATGATAAGCTAATGTTATAAATACTGTTATAAAAGTCAAGCAATATGCAGCTTATCTTCTAGGGAGAAAAAATTCTGTATTGGTTAACATTTATTGAATAAAGTTCTTTACTCTTTAGCCTATTGGTTAGTTTGATTTTCTCAATGCCATTAAATAATCTAACATTTGGCCACAATAATTGATTATTAGGTTGGCATAAGCAGTGATTTCAGAGCATCAAAAAACCACAGTATTGCTGTTTCATTTGTATTCATGTAAAAGCTAGTTTCTCCTTAATTTACATGTACAATTTAACCTTCAAACTGAGTGTAAAGTGTCTTAAAGGATAAAACAAATGTATACATATCAGGGTTTGTTGGTCTTAGTCTTTTCTACAATGGCACAGGAGTATAGAGCTTTTTAAAGTATTTTATAGCATTCATTACTTGGTTGTTAATTATAAACAGGGAATAGGAAAATGGGAACCATGGATAAAGAAATTGAAAGAAGCTCCTCCAATTCCTAAAGATGTAATGTTTAATGAAATCATTGTGCCAACTCTGGACACAATTCGATACTCTGCATTAATGGAATTGCTGACCACCCATCAAAAGCCTTCAATATTTGTAGGACCAACAGGAACTGGGAAAAGTGTTTACATTACGGTAAGTACTGCAGAAATCTGCGTATTAAACTGTGCATAATCTTCCTAAGAATGTTTTTGAAATAGCAGACAAATAATTTTTTAAAAATACTCAAGTACTTTGATGTTTGAACTGCAGAGAATTTTTGAAAAATTGCCACTTATTTTTTTTTGTTTTAGCCAAAAGGCCAAGAAGTGATAATTGCCTATTTATTTTCAAAAGTTGATTAATGATACGTTGCCATTTTATACCATTAAATTGTTGTCCCATTTATTTTGATATTTTAATAAGAATTGCTTGTTCCACATGAGAATTTCATACCTCTTGAAAAGTGTGTTTTAGTTACACTTGATATTTTCTAAGTTATTTTATATCTGAAGGATTATTATGTAGTAACAAGACTGATTTTCCTTAATGATGTCTGGAATTGGCTGTTAGTTAAGATAATGCTAGATGCTGTAATAGAAAATGCTGCAGTCTCAGTAGCTTTATGCAGCCTGTGGAGGAGAATGAAGATACTTTTGAGGGCCCCTCTTTGATTGTAGCTTCCAGTTAATTCACATTCTCCCACAGTACCTGTTTCTAGTTCTTTATTGACTTTAACATTACATCTTACAGTCTTTCTGAAATGTATTTGGCAGTATAGTTACATAGCCATCCTAGTATTTATTGAATAATCTCTTTCATAAAAGATTGGAATGACATCTCTCATAAAGTAAATGCTTGCATGTATGGGAGTATCCAAGAGGAGGCAGAGATACATTTTCACTGAGAATTTAAATCAGGGAGTGTTTTTGGCCTGGATTAAAAAAAAAAAAAAACTAAAAGTGTACAGAAAGCTGAGAGATTTATCTAAGATATCACCATGGGTCAGGGAATGGAGACATAACATGATTGAAGGCAGTGGTTAGAGGAAAATGCAAGCCTTTTGTCATTTATACCTTCATCAATTTCAGCCCAGGCAATAAAGTGCCTAGGCATAAAAACATTACTTTTCACAAACTTAGGAACTTACTTCTGTAATCTGCTTTTAAAACTAATATTGTAAATATTTTTCAATTTCATTATTCTTCTACAAGATGATTTTAAGGGTATTGTAATATTTGATTCTATAATTTTATGATAATTGATTCAAATCCCTAATTTTTCTAACATTTTGCTTTAGAAATAAGTTTGCAGGCCGGGCGCAGTGGCTCACGCCTGTAATCCCAGCACTTTGGGAGGCCGAGGCGGGGGGATCACTAGGAGATTGAGACCATCCTGGCTAACACGGTGAAACCCAGTCTCTACTAAAAATACAAAAACAAGCAAACAAAAAAAGTAGCCGGGTGTGGTGGCGGGCGCCTGTAGTCCCAGCTACTCAGGTGGCTGAGGCAGGAGAATCGCTTGAACCCAGGAGGTGGAGCTTGCAGTGAGCCGAGATCGCGCCACTGCACGCCAGCCTGGGCGACAGAGTGAGACTCCGTCTCAAAAAAAAAAAAAAAAGAAAAAGAAAGAAAGAAGATTGCAATGAACGTTTTTATAGCTAAGTCTTTGTTCTTATCTTTGCTTATTTGTTTAGGAAAATATCCTAAGATTCCTGGACATGGAATTGTTGATTTTTTTGATGAATATTAAGCTGTTCCTCATAGAGGTTATTGTCCGCCATGCCCTTCAGGGGGATTTCATTGCCCCAATTAATTAAGATTTAGTTGTATTGTAAATAATACAAATATAGGGTTACAATTTAAAGTGATTTTTCTCTTCAAATTATTGCATGTCTATTTATATTTTAAATAAATGATGAAAAAACGTAGTATTCTATTTAAAGATTACCTAAAAATGTAAGTTAAAACAATACAACAAAAAAAAATTAACTGAAGACACTGGCTGACAGCAAATCTGTTGAGGGAGTTTTAATATCTTGATAGTGGTAGGAAGGAGTCTATAATTTCATACAATTTACTTAGTTGAGAACTTAGATTAAAATAATTGTTAACAAATACAATATTTAATATTCATTATAGCTATTTCTCATTTAAAGATTAGCTCTATTGGCAAATGAGTATTTTCCCTTTCACATAAATACACAGCTTTTATAGAATAATTTTAATCAACACATATAATTTGATCATTAAATTGAATAAACAAACAAGTAGTTTTTATAAGTATGTACTTAATTTTGAGTGTTAAATGTAAACATCAAAAATATTCATCTTTCAGTAGACCAAGTGAAATTTTATCTGCGGTAGTATTATAAGAGGTATTCATTTAAACTGAAGAATAAGGCTTACCTGACGATAGCTTATGAAAACATAAATTTTGTTTATATAATTTTTAAGGCATCCTGATAAAAAGTGAAAATGTGCCATTTAGAATTTTTTAAATCACCTATAAACTCCTGGAATTAGGGCAACATTCTGATAATGGTCTGATTTGTACATTTTATCTCTATATATGACGTAAGCAATACACAGAACCATACTCTATTAATTGTCCCCTTTAGTTACTTCTCTTTTGCTTTCTTTTTGTTTTCATTTACATGATCTATTTTTGCTTATTCTTTTTAAGTATTTCTGATCATTTAGACTCAGCGTGTCGCTGCATTTTTTATTTGTGTTAATCTGAGCCCTTTTTCCTTTTAATAAGGAAATTGACCTCATACATAAATTGTCATAATGAGTCATACTTTTGTATTCACATTTTCTGTTTAGCTTTTTATATGCTTTAAACATTTTTAATTACTGTTATGATGGTGTGTTTATAATATTTTGTTCTTCCTATTGATTTGGAAGGGTACGTAAACTATTTAAAATTCTTCTAGTGTTTATTTTAAAACACTAAGGTTTTTTCTAAAGTCTACAGTTTTTTTCTAAATTCAGTTTTTAAATTATCAATATTATGAATGACAGTATCCATTGACCTCCTTCCCCTACCCAGTTAATGAGGAAGAGTGAAATACTGCTATTTATCACCAATACCTTTCACCATCTTCTGGTAAGACAGAGATGTTTTGAAACCTCAGTTTATTTTTGCCAAATTTTTAATATTATGCAGCAACTCTTTTGGAAGTTTTTTATATTAATTACATTTGGATTTTGGTTTTAGAACTATTTATGTTTATTATGGTTAGATTTAGTTCTGTTTTTAGATGGCCTCAATGCTCACTGCCAAACTGTTCACACCATGGCTTATGTATGTGTTGCATTCTTATTTTCATTATTTTATTATTTTTGAGAGACAGGGTCTTGCTCTGTCCCCTAGGCTGGAATGCAGTGGCACAATCACAGCTCACTGCAGCCTTGACCTCCTGGGCTCAAGTGATCCCCCCACTTCAGCCTCCCAAGTAGCTGGGACTACAGGCATGCACCACCACACCCTCTAATTTTTTATGTAGAAGTGGGATCTTGCTATGTGGCCGAGGCTGATCTCCAACTCCTGGGCTCAAGCAATCCTCCTGACTTGGCCTCCCAAAGTGCTGGGATTACAGGCTGGAGCCACCACACCCACCCTTTATTTCACTCCTGTTTCATTTAGTTCATGCATCAATCCAACAAAAATTTATTGATTACCTACCATATGGCTTCCACTGTTAGCTAATAAAAATATATTATAATACAGTGTTTACATTGTACATCATGTAGGCAAGCTAAGTGAAATAATATTTTAGAGTCTTAAGCAATAATTTTTAAAAACTTGTATAAATTTGCTTTACTCAGACATGTCATTCCTTCATTACAGTTGTTGCTCAGAATAGGGAGTTGTTTCTTTAAATAAATAGAATAACTTGTTTTCAAACTATTATTCCTCTTGAAATAATCTATCACTTACATTATAACTATACAATCATAAAAGAAATTTTAATCATAAAAGTCACAAAAATATATTCCTACTTTTATTCTAAACTTCCCCATTCCCAGTTTTTGCTATTCTAACTGGCAATCACAGGTACAAACACAAAGTCTTCAAAGATTTTAAAGAACTTCCATTTTAGAATGTGCTCATTCTGTGAAAGGAAAATAATTTTAAATTTAAAAAGGTAGCTCCTGCTGGGCTGATGGGAGGAGTAAAAGCCTTCCTCCAGAATCTCTGACCAGCTTGTTACCCTACGTCTTCCTTATTTTCTATATTTGTTCTGCCTCCTCGTACTCCTGGCATGTGTGCTAAATGTAGTCATTAATGAGAACATCATAAGTCCTTTTTAAAATATGTATTGCCTTGATGAATAGATTAATATTCCAAAGTATGCTTTCAGAATTTCCATTTGCTTAATTATGGTAATGTTTAGTGTATAATCACATCATGAAAGGAGGACTTGCTTGAGGTATTTTACCATTTGATATTTTGGGTTAATAATTTAATATCTTAATTATAAAGCTGAATGCTGCAAGCATTTAATGCAAGTAAAGTTTAGAACAGTCAAAAAACTTTACCGTTTCCCTTCCTTTATTCATATGTGCATGTGATAGATATTACTGTTCATTAAGAAAATATGTGATTTACATAGGATGTTTTCTAATAAATTGGTCCTTAAGTGGCAAGGGATTGTGCCCTATACAGAACTCTTGAGGGAGGGAAGGGGAAGAAAGAGTGAGGAGAGGCAATTTTATTTTGAAGAGCTCCTCAGGGAATTCTGGTATGTCCTGTCCCTGGCATACATCTTGATTAAGAACCATTGTAATTCCACCTGGTTTCCAGTGAATTCCATTTTGAAAATACAGTTATATTTTTAAGCTTTCTAACTTACAGAAAGATCGCTTTGTATGTAAGTGGAAAGATAATAAGATATATGAAAAAGAACATTCATCTAGAGAGAGACAAATGGCAGTCTGAATTCTTGCCCATCTCGGAGAACTTAGGCAGGTTTCCTAACCTCTGAGTCTCTGTGACTCCATGTTAAGGAGGAATGTGTATTCCCCAGTAGCTGTGAAAACCAGAGAAGTCACATGCAAGAGGCTGGACAGATGGAGACACTCCATTGGCATGGTAACTGTTATTCCTACTGATTCCATCTATTTGTACAATGTTACAACACTTAAGGTTAAATTCGAGTCTATCAGTAATGATGCTTAGTGTTTATTCTGAAATGTCAAAACATAATTCCAACTATGGCTCATTTTATTATTTTGTTATATAGAATTTTCTTTTAAATCAACTAAATAAGGAAATCTACAAACCTCTGCTAATTAACTTCTCAGCACAAACTACAGCAGCTCAAACTCAGAATATTGTCATGTCAAAATTGGACAAGAGAAGAAAGGGAGTTTTTGGTCCTCCTTTGGGCAAGAGAATGGTAATGACTCTTTGTACAGTACCCGGGCCTATTCATATACATTGCTGCAGTTGGAACAAGGAAACCAAATATCCTGGGGAGAGACATCTTTTTGTATAGTTTTTTAATGTCACAAATTTGGATTAAAAGGTTCTCCTAAAAATGTAGTTACATTTGTATGTGCACTAGACAGCTTGATGTTTAAAACAAGGAGTTGCCCTTTGAGTTGAAGGTAGAATATTCATCTGAGAAATTATCTACCTTCCTAATTTTTTCACTAACATTTTTATTCAGCAGTCTTTGCTGCTTGCTTTTGTAGACCTTCAGCAACACAGCTCTCAATAGATTTACCTGTGTTCCTCTGCAAAGAACACCCTTCTCACCCTAATCACACTTTTCTCATCTATTTTCATGAATTGAAGTGTAGTACAAGGAAAAAATATGCAGTATATTGAGAAACAAATTGTATGAGAGGATTAATAAGTCCTAAGCTATTAACCTACGAAGATTAGTAATGAGAATGTCTCCCTATTTCTTAAGGAATATGAATCCTAAAAGCATGGAAGCTAAGGATATTATCCTTGTTTAGAAAAGAAACCATCACTTCCTCATATGTACTCTGCAAATAGATAGCTAAGTATTTGCCTCAATATTGTTTACACAATAGGACTGTATGTTGAGATGTTAATATTTTCTGTACCTCTTCTCTTCTCATTCTCAGGTTGTCTTTGTAGATGATGTCAATATGCCTGCTCGGGAGGTATATGGGGCTCAACCTCCCATTGAGTTACTTAGACAGTGGTTAGACCACTGGAACTGGTATGATCTAAAAGATTGTTCCATGATTAAACTAGTGGACATTCAGATCATGTGTGCTATGGGACCTCCAGGTACATTTTTTGAGTTTGTGATTACTAAGATGGAAAAATCTCCCTAGCAATAGCTAAAGAAATAACTGGAAAAAAATCCTCTTTTGAGTTGCAGTGTTTTGTGTATATGTTTTCTATGTGTATCTATTGTGACCTAACAGAGTGTATCATATGACCAACTCTATAAAGTGGGTGACCTTGGATGGGCTATGCACCCACCAACTCTTCCAAAACTTTTTTTCTCCCACCTTCTGGAACTTTTTTCTCCCACCTTCTGAAACTTTTTTCTCCCACCTTCTGGAAGTCTTCCAAATCCTTTTTTCTCCCACCTTCTGGAATTTTTGCTCCCAATTTCCTGTTTCTGCCTTCTGAGAACTCACATCGTCCTGGGGCATCTCATCTTCCTCTGTGTCATTCCTTAATGCTTCAATTGTATAGAATGGTCCCTGCTTCAGAAATCATCTTTATTCTACCCCAAATCAAGTCCCATTCAAGTCAGTCTCTGGATTTAAACAGGCTGCTGAGAAGAATTTAAGTAGGGAATGGCCAAAAGATCCTTTAAATTTTCCAAGATAAATTTATACTCAAAGGAATCTCTGTGTAGAGGAAATTTGCTTTTTAATGCTGGGGTGTCTAAAATGGCTTGATTACTAACAAGAAATCTTTAACTGTTTTCTTCCTGACTATTTTCTTCAAGCCAGTATTCCATTTTTTAAAATGTTGCTTGTGTTGATATACCACTTCAGGGAATCTCTCCGGTATTTGCTCCCTAACCCTGACCTTTATCTGACCTGTAATGCAGTTTGTTCTGAGTCAGTAATTGCTCTCAGCACATTCCCTGGGCCATTTTGAACACTTTCTGTTTGTTTGTTTTTGAGACAGGGTCTCACTCTGTTGCTTAGGTGGGGTGCAGTGGTGTGATCATAGCTCACGGCAGCCTTAAACTCCTGGGCTCAAGTGATCCTCCCACCTCAGCCTCCTGAGCAGCTAGGACTACAGGCATGCATCACCATGCATGGCTAATTTTGTTTCATATTTTGTGGAGACAAGGGCTTGGGGGCATATTATTATGCCCAGGCTGTTTTTTTTTTTTTTAAATAAAAGACCATATTGCTCCTGGGTCTCAGACTTCAGTTCCACTTTGTCTCTCCCCCACCACCCCAAGCCAGGCATTTATACTCACATGTCCACTTTTCCCTGCCTCTTCAGGCATTGGTAAGAAAAGTATGCTGAAACCATGAGGTATCTTTTCCTTTCGGACCCCATTTCTGTTTTCTAAAAATATCACAATTCTGAACATTCTCTGGAAGGGTTGGAGACAGAGCTGGGGTAGATGATCTTACCATCTTTTCTTCTGCAACCCTTTCACCATCTCCTTAAACTGTTTTATATTTTCCAAAAGAAATGTATAAGCTCAAAGGAATCTTTCATTATTTTGTGGAAAAATCCCCCAATTTTTAAAGATGCAAGCAGCCAGTGAAGTCACTATATGAACTGTATAGACTCGTCTTGGGTAAATTCGCTTCAAGATGTGGGGGAAGAATTTGGCTATATGTCATGGTTGTGCTGAATTCGAGCCTTGTGGGAAGTACCCTAAACTTTGGTCAGTCAGATTCACCAGAGTTACGTTAATATTGTATAATATTACATTTTAATATTGTATTGAGGATGTTTACCATTTACTGCTTTAAGCTGTAAACTGTGGAGAACATGGCCTGTGGCTTTTTCTGCCTGGTCTGATTTCCCTTAGTAATATAGTTTTGACTCAAGATTATGTCTAATTAGTTTAACTCATTCAGATAATTCACCTAGAAAAGTAACGTCTTGAATTTGAGGGAAAAATAGTTTTGATGTCAGGGTTATCCAAACAATTGATTACTCTTAACTTCATGTGCCGTGAATTTGTCCATCTTTCAAGTTACTTTAAACTATAGAATATTTGAGAAAATACTCTTGTATATACTAGTAACATTATTAAGAGTTATACTTTTTAATATTTAGGTGGTGGTCGAAATCCAGTAACTCCTCGATACATGCGACATTTCAATATTATAACAATCAATGAGTTTAGTGATAAATCCATGTATACAATCTTCTCTAGAATCTTAACTTGGCATTTAGAAATCTGGTAAGTAATCAAAATTTGTTTTTTTTTTAATTAGGAGGTATAAAATATTTTAGAAACATATCAATATTAAGTAGCGTATTTCAAAGAACAAAAGCATTCCTAGATAAGGAAAAGTTAACAGACAACATCGTTTGCCTCTGTTCCTGCCACCTCCCAGTGTGGGAGCATAACACAAAGAGGTCTGACCATTCTGCTATGTAATATGTTCACGTTTGAGTTATTATTTTGAATTTTCACCACTGAGTTCAATTACTGCTGGAAAGATGTACCAGGTTTATGCTGTGACTTTGATACCCTCTAGTAGAACTTGAGTTCTGCAGGGGTATTCGTGTCCAAGTCTGAGAAGTAATGCCTTGGAGCTGCCTAGCTGCAGAGATTGTGCTACTCCACAAGATGCAGAGATATCAGGGAGCCAAGCTGACCTGGGCAGGGGAAGTCTGTCTGTGTGCCCATGCCCATTCTCAAGAAATTGTCATTCCTTGCCTTATCCAGTGATGATGGAGTAAACACCTGGCTCCTAGACAAACCAGAAGTTAAATATAGGCAATCTTTCTAAATGAAAATTATTTCTCTACATTCTTTATACTCTAATCATGCACTTTGTCTTGGCTCACTGTTTTACTTTCCTTTTTTTCTCTTTTCCTTATTTTTTTTACGTATTTTAATTTTCTTCCTTTTTTTCCTCTGAAAATACCTGTTTCACCAGTGTTCCTTATGGATTATATTTATATGCAGTTGAGAATGCCAGGGAATGAAAGAGGTCGGGAAATACTTGTCTAGTGGATTTGGGATTACATAATCTGGGTTCCTTGGCTGTCTCTTCTGTTCACTTACTTAAGTGATTTTAAGTCCATTAAACTGGCCCTGCTCATTTCACAGGGGTCTTTTGGACATAACATAAAATAGTACATGGAAAATAGCTTTAAAAGGAGTAAAAATCTATTAGTATTATTATTATAATAAGATATGGTAATTTTATAAATGAAATTGATTTAATCAAAATTAAAATTTTATGTTGGTCCTGCTAAATATCCTTTTTGTGTCGTAATTCTATAATTGCTAACATTTTCCTTTCTTTTTATTTAAAAAATTTTTAAGTTATAAATTTCCAGATGAATTTCTAGATTTGACCACACAAATCGTAAATGGCACAATGACTCTGTATAAAGAAGCAATGAAGAATCTCTTGCCTACTCCAGCTAAATCTCACTACTTGTTCAACCTCCGTGATTTCTCCCGTGTCATTCAAGGTGTTTGTTTGTCAAGACCAGAAACAACAGAAACCACAGAAGTGATTAAACGTCTTTGGGTTCATGAGGTAAATTTTCCTGTTATTGAAATGGGATTATGTGAGAAACAAAGATTTGCCATGCCAACAACTGGGTAAAAAGAATATTCTTCAATTTATATTGCTGAAATATATTCAGTTATTTGGCATTTTGAAGGCCAGTGTTCAGAAAAATTTTAAAAATATTTAACACTGAGATATTTTATGATGTTTAAAATGCTTTATCTCCCATATGCAGATTTAGGAATTTCTGTTGATTTATAGAATATTTCAAAGTAGGTGTCACTTTGAACCAGTTTCCCTTAAGTAGTTTTTTTTTTTTTTTTTTTTTTTTTTTTTTTTTTTTTTTGAGACGGAGTCTCGCTCTGTCGCCCAGGCTGGAGTGCAGTGGCGGGATCTCGGCTCACTGCAAGCTCCACCTCCCGGGTTCACGCCATTCTCCTGCCTAAGCCTCCCAAGTAGCTGGGACTACAGGCGCCCGCCACTACGCCCGGCTAATTTTTTGTATTTTTAGTAGAGACGGGGTTTCACCGTTTTAGCCGGGATGGTCTCGATCTCCTGACCTCGTGATCCGCCTTCCCTTAAGTAGTTTAATCCTTGTTAGTTTGACTTCAAATAAATTTGAAATGGAACACTTTTTAAGGAGATGTTTTTATAAGAAGTGAATGTGGTTTTTTTTTTTTACATTACTTATTTGTATAGTATTACTAGATGCCAAAAGAATTGCAAAGCAAATTCTTGAGAGCATAGAAACTATATAAAAATGTATTTAAGCTCTCTTGGGAATAGGTATGTGGATGAGCATTTTCTTATAAGAAGTGGTAGAGGAGGCTCATGCCTGTAATCCCAGCACTTCAGGAGGCTGAGGCGGGAGAATTGCTTGAAGTTAGGAGTTTGAGGATGCAGTGAGCTATGATGGCACCACTGCGCTTCAGCCTGGGTGATAGAGCAAGACCCTTATTTTAATTTTAATATGCAGTTAAGAAACATAGAACACGAGAATGTGCTACTGTGTTACAACCATGTACTACAGAGATATAAATTTCAAAAGGTCTTTTAAAAATCCAGTTTCTCTGGACTTTTTAGATATACAGTTTGAATTCCTAAATCATCACACATTCAAATATATGTCCACGTGAAGATCCGTTCCACTTGCATGTTTTGGCCACAACAAGGTCTCCAAAAGTGATTCTTTGGAAAGGATGATGTAGAGATTCTTATAGCACTCCACAGCAGGTTACCTAATTGCCTGAATGGGACCCACTTCCCAGGATACGGATGCAGGCTTGTGTTTGGGGGCCACATGGGTAATAGAAATGTACTGAGAGCTGGAGAGTGTGGGGGAAGTGAACAGGGAGGATGATGCTGAATTCATTCAAGGAGCATGCCTTAGTCCATTCAGGCTGTTATAAAACGTACCTAAACTGGGTGGCTTGTCAACAAACTGAAATTAATTTCTCACAGTTCTGGAGGCTGGAAAGTTCAAGATCAAGGCACTGGCAGATTTCATGTCTGGTGAGGGATTGTTTTCTAGTTATAGGTGGTGCCTTCTCACCATGTCCTCAAATGGTGGAAGGGGCAATGGGCTCTCTGGCCTCTTTTATAAAGGCACTAATTCCATTCATGAGGGTTCTGCTCCCATGACCTAATTACCTCCCAGAGTCTCCACTGCAATACTATCACCTTGGGGGTGAGGATTTCAACATATAAATTTAGGGGGAACATAAACATTGAAACCATAGCAGATTGCATTGCTGAAGGCAGCATTTTGTCATGGGTGAATCTAACTCACGAGGAAGCATTTGGCATCCTCCACCTCAGTAACTTTGCCCTTGATATTCCTTCTGCCTAGAACACTCTTTCTCTGTTATCTGCAGGCTTGCCCACTTCCTTCCTTCAGATTTTTGCTGAAATACCCCCTTTTCATGCAAGCTTGCTTTGGGCCATCCCTACCCCCCTTGATTTTTTACTGCTTACCTTGCTTTGTTCTTCATAACATTGAACATCACCTGACACCTTCTAAATTTGGGGCTTACTTATTGTCTTTGCAATAATAGAAACTTTATGAGAATAGCAGTTATATTTATGCGCTGGTTTTCCCAGTGCCTGGCACACAGAAAACACTCAATAAATATTGGTGAATGAATGAGTGCATAAAGAGAGGAAGGCAGGCAGGCTTGCTACACATGACATGTTCTGTCACTTGAGATTATACATAACAGTGCTTTCTTCCAATCATGGGAATAGGTTGTTTGTGCTATTGTATATGTGTTAGACATAATTACTTTTAAGAGTTTTTTAGATTCTGTGCTGCTTTAGATGTCAGATTATTGAGTTTTGATAATGGTTGTTGAGCTCTTTGGGCATTTAGTGAGGTTTACTACTTCATATTTATACATACCTATATAAAACATAATGAATTTAGTCCTCAGCTCAAAACCTTGTATTAGCACCCTACTTCATTCAGAGGAATTTCGGATAAAAGTCCAGTGGCCCATGGGATCTGGGATGTGTTCCTCTTAGCCTGTTCCCCTCAGGCTGCCTCCTGCTCTCATCCTCATCCCCCTTTCACCAGCAGTACAGGTCTCCTGGCTATTCTCTTCTGCCTGCAATATTTCCCCCAGATATTGATGCTCTGGAATAGCTCCTTCCCTGCCTTTGATCAAATTCTTCTTTCTAGTTGAAGCTTTTTAATACCACAGCCTGACTCCCCTCCCCTATCCTAGTAGTTCCAGTCTTTCTTATCCTGTCCTATTTTACTTCTTTTCATAATATTTTCCAACGTCCAACATGTTGTAGAATTCATTCGTTATATGTGTTGTTCATCTCCCTCAGATAGCAGGCAAGCCCCATGAGAGCAGAGATTTTCCTCTCTCTTTTTTTTTTCTTACTGCAGTGCCAAGAAGGATGTTTGGTACATTATTCTCAACATCTTTAAAAATATGAGGTAATTGTGAGACAGTAGGTGGGAAGGGATCCCCCGAGAAACTCCAGCCAGCCAGTGCACTGGGGTGGAACCACAGAAGTTCATGCTGTTTGCAGTGGGGAGGAGCCTGGCCCCTCTTCTTCCTGGATGGAACCTGGGATTCAATCTGCAGGGTGGGAAGCACTCTAGAAGGGACGCTGGCCTTGTGGAGAGTCCCTGTTTCCCCCTTTTCTTCACTTTCACTCAATAAAACCTGTTTTACTCACCATTCAAATAGTCTGTGAGGCAAAATTTTCATGGCTGTGTAACAAGGACCCCACCTTTAGCTGAACTAAGGAAAAGTCCTGCAACAATTGAACTTAACACTAATTTGTGCTTTATTTCTGTTCACTCAGAAAATATTTCTTCAGGGTTTAATATATGTTAGAGACTACTTTACATGTCTTTTTCCTTTCCAGACATCATTATCATACTAGATAACCTTATATAATTTCACTAAATGGTTTCTAAGGTATAAAACTGACAACTCATTCCCTTTGGCTTCTCCATGGCTCTGAGACATTAGTTAATGCACGTATCACCTGGTTTGCTTGTTAAATACAGATATTCTGCAAAAACAAGACCCCCAAAATAGATGAATATGTTTCATCAAAATTAAAAAATTTTATGCTTCAAAAAACACCATCCAAAAAATGAAAAGACAATATATAGAATGGGATAAAATACCTGCAAATCATATAAACTGTTAAGTATCTAGTATCCACAATACATAAAGAACTGTTATAACTCAACAATAAAAGACTAATAATGCAATTTAAAAGTGAGCAAAGGATTCAAAGACATCGCTCCAAAGATGATATACAAATGGCCAATAAGGACATGATTAGTCATTAGGGAAATACAAATCAAAACTGCCATTAAGTACCTTTCACACTCAATAGGATGGCTGTAATAAAAAAGATGAATAATAGGCCAGGCGTGGTGGCTCACACCTGTAATCCCAGCACTTTGGGAGGCCGAGGCAGGCGGATCATGAGGTCAGGAGATCGAGACCATGGTGAAACCCTGTCTCTACTAAAAATACAAAAAATTAGCCGGGTGTGGTGGCGGGCACCTGTAGTCCCAGCTACTCAGAGAGGCTGAGGCAGGAGAATGGCATGAACCCGGGAGGCGGAGCTTGCAGTGAGCCGAGATCGCACCACTGCACTCCAACCTGGGTGACAGAGCGAGACTCTGTCTCAAAAAAAAAAAAAAAAAAAAAAAAGATGAATAATAGAACAGTGTTGGTGAGCATGTGGAAGAATTGGAACCCTCATACATAGCTGGCAGTAATGTAATATAGAAAACAGTTTGGTAGGTCATCAAAAGGTTAAAACATAGGGTTACCATATGACCTAGCAGTTCCACTCCTAACTGTGGACCCAGAAGAACTGATACATGTCCATGCAAAAACTTGTACATGAATATTATTAGCAGAATTATTTATAATAGCCAAAAAGTAGAAACAACCCAAATATCCATCAGCTGATGAGTGGACAAACAAAATATTGTAAATACATACTGTGGAATTGTATTCAGTCCTAAAAAGAAATACTCATATATCCTACAACATAGATGAACCTAGAAACATTGTGCTAAGTTAAAAAGTCCATACACAAAAGGTCACCTATGATATGATTCATTTATATCATATATCCAGAATAAGCAAGTTAGTTCCATAGAGATAGTAAATAGATTAGTGTTGGCCAGGGCTGGTGGTAATGAGAAGTAGCTTCTATTGGGTACCAGGTTTCTTTCTGGGGTGATGATAAAGTTCTGGAGGGAGATAGTTGTGATGGTTGCACAACTTTGTGAATATTCTGATTCTGTATTCTTTTAAAGAATGAATTTTATGGTCCATGAATTATATCTCAATTTTAAAAGTCTGCAATCAAGACTTTGAGGTAAATAAATTCAAAGCACAAATTACAATATAAATATACCAGAAATTATATCCTTTGCAACAATTTAGATTTATAATAGAAAGTTTTAAGTGTCAACTTTTTAAAATGTGAGAGGTGGTGATAGAATAATGGTTCCTTGTTGGGGAGGGAGGAAAGCAGGGACCAACAGTAGTGAGCATGAGGGAGCTTACTAAGGTGCTGGAAATTTTATATCTTGATCTTGGTGGTGGTTACATGGATGTATAACTGTGTGCCAAAATTCTTTGAGCTGTACACTTAAGATTGTTGTACCTGTATTAGTCCATTTTCATGCTGCTGATAAAGACATACCCGAGACTGGGCAATTTACAAAAGAAAGAGGTTTATTGGACTTACAGTTCCACATGTCTAGTGATGCCTCACAATCATGGTGGAAGGTGAAAGGCATCTCTCACATGGTGGCAGACAGGAGAAGAGAGATTGTGCAGGGAAACTCCCCTTTTTAAAACCATCAGGTCTCGTGAGACTTATTCACTATCATAAGAACAGCACGGGAAAGACCCACCCCATGATTCAATTGCCTCCCACCAGGTTCCTCCCACAACACGTGGGAATTCAAGATGAGATTTAGGTGGGAACACAGCCAAACCATATCTGTACCTTAAATAAGGAAAAAGAAAAAACAAAAAGAAATGGAAAGATATTCCCAGGAATCATCCTCTGTGTTTTTAAGTCAACAGATCCACTGTGGGGCCCAGGAATTTGCATTTTGAATAAGTACCTCAGATGATTTTAATGCAGATGTGTTGACTGTCTTTGAGAAATGCTGCTATAGGTTCTTGCTAAACTGCCAGCTAGATAATAATATACTTGTTTCATGCTTAGGCATTGATCCTGATACATGAAGTTGACTTAATTTAGGAATATTGTCTGAGATCTTAAGTACCTCAATTCAAAGATTGGCCATTGGCATGTATTGGGAAATTAGATTGTCTCACAGAGAAATAACTTTTGAACTGGTTGGAATAAGAAGGAAGTTTAAATAATACCATTTGCTTATGCAGACACTATTAGTGAAAAAAAAAAAGGATAACACTATGAAATCATCAATTTGATAACAATACACTAAAACCACGATTCCTGAACACCATTAACCTTAATGCTAGGGCAATTTGCAGTAATTATCTATTTGAATTCTACAGTGTTTTCACATATTTTGTCATGTTACTTTTTCCCCAAATCTATGAGATTTGCGAGGTAGGTAATACTACTTCTATTTTATAGGTGAAGAAGTTGATGCAGACATTTTCAGTGATTTACTCAAAATGGTAGAGCAGAGTAAGGATCCAACGTTCCACTGACGAAATATGCATTATTTATAGCATATATGTATTAGTTGGCCATTAACAAAATAATACAGACTAAGTGGCTTAAACAACAGAAATTTATTTTCTCACGCTGGCTTGCTAAAGCCACCTTGTCTCTGTGTCCTCACATGGCCCTTCCTCTGTGCATATAAGGGCTGCCCAACAGAAACAAGAACCAGAGAGAGAGAGGGAGAGAGCGCTTTAATGCCTCTTCCTCTCCTTATAAGGACACTATCCTATAAGATTAGGGCCCTACCCTTATGACTTAATTTAACCTTAATTGCTTCCTTAAAGGCCCTATCCCCAAATCCAGTCACATTGAGAGTTATGGCTTCAACATAAGAATTTTGGGGGGACACAATTCAGTCCAAAATAGACTGTACCCCTGGGACACACTTCTTTAAGAAAACAGTTGCTACATGTAGCAAGCCTGATGTTTCTTGCAGTCCCATAACATGTGCATATAACCGGAGATTTATTTTAGTAGATTGCTCTCTGTAACGACTTAAAACAAAAATAATTAACAGGTATCCCAAACAACTCTCCCTCTACCCAAGACATTTCCTGTTCTAGAAAATGTGCTTTTTGAAAAACAAAAACAAAAGCAAAAACTATTGATTTGTCAATAACTTTCAAAATGTTATCTATCTTAGAAAAAGGAAACATCACTGGAAAGGTGTTGGGTACCCCCTGGGTACTGGTGCCCAGCTCTGCTATCCACATCTGAGCAGCCAGCAAAGGCAGTCACTAACTTCTCAAGGCCTTAATTCTCTTAGCATCTCTACATCTGCTTCAGCTCCCACCCCCAAAATTACCTTTCATTGATTGATAACTGACTATAACCTTATTATTCTAAATATAGAGTTAAAATTAACATTTAAAATAACATTATTGTGAATCAGTCCTGATTATTTGGATATACTTTTAATAAAACCTGCAGAAATTTTCTAATATTTTTATTACCTGAGATTAGCACAGATATAATAACACTTTCTTAAAAATCAGAAGAAAGTTTCTAAAGCTGCTTTTTAATTATTATACAGGTCCTTCGAGTGTATTATGACCGCCTTCTGGACAATACAGACAGAAGCTGGCTCATCAACTACATTCAAGAAATTTTGAGAAACTACATGTATGAAGATTTTCATGAGCTTTTTCAGCGTTTGGATTTTGATAATGATGGCATGGTGGAAGCAGATGACTTACGCAGCTTAATGTTTTGTGATTTCCATGATCCCAAGAGGGAGGATACCAACTACAGAGAAATCGCAGATGTGGATAATCTTCGAATGATAGTAGAAATTCACCTAGAAGAATACAACAATATAAGCAAAAAACCCATGAACCTTGTCTTGTTTCGATTTGCCATAGAGCACATCAGCAGAATTTCCAGGATCCTGAAGCAGCCTCGCAGCCATGCTCTCCTAGTAGGGGTTGGAGGGAGTGGAAGGCAGTCTGTCACCAGATTAGCTGCCCACATGGCTGATTATTCAGTTTTCCAAGTTGAAATCTCTAAGGGGTATGATACTACTGAATGGCATGAAGATTTAAAAGTGATCTTAAGGAAATGTGCGGAAGGTGAGATGCAGGGTGTCTTCCTGTTTACAGATACTCAAATTAAAGAAGAGTCTTTTCTGGAAGATGTCAGTAATCTGCTAAATGCTGGGGAGATTCCAAATCTCTTTGCATTAGATGAGAAGCAAGAGATATGTGATAAGATGCGTCAGTTAGATCGCCAGCGGGATAAAACCAAGCAAACAGATGGCAGCCCCATAGCCCTTTTCAACATGTTTATTGATCATTGCCGCAGCCAACTGCATGTGGTCCTTGCCATGAGTCCCATTGGAGATGCATTTCGGAATCGTCTTAGAAAGTTCCCTGCTCTTGTTAACTGCTGTACCATTGACTGGTTTCAGGTATTGTCATGTACATTTTAGATAGACTTCTAGAAATGTTGAATTTCCACTATCATCATGACTTATTTTATAGATTCCCAACCTGTAGTTTACCCCAAAATATTGTTTAGCAGAATCTTCTGATCAGTTATATCTTATGAAATTATAATTCAAGAAATTATAATAGAAAAGTATTTATTAAGAATATATGTGATCACTAACTTCAATATATTATAGGAAGTGTTATGATAAAATTGTGTATCAGAGTCCTGACAGGAAGCACAGAGCAACCTTGAACCCTTCACCGAAGAAAGCATAATGAAGGAACTGTTCACAGAGGGGTAGGCAGGGTTAAGGGAACCAAGAGGGGATGTTGGAACACTCAGGAAGTGGTAGGTGGAGCAATAGCAGGAAGTGTTACTATAACCGTGTATGAAAGTCAGAGCTTAGAGCTGTGGATATAAGACTGCCCAACAGGAATAGGAACCAGAAACGTAGAACTCAGCTACGGCTGGAAAGGAAGGGAGGATCAAAATACCCCTGTGTCTCACTTCTTCCACCCTGCCCCCAATCTCTTCCCATTAGCTAAACCCAAAGGAGTTAAGAGCGAGAAAGCCAGAGTGACCTTTTTTTCTGTGGACTTCAGTACTGGGAAGTACAGAGCAGAGCAGAAAAAGGCAGCGAATGGATGGGGGGTAGGAACGAGGGGTGGGGAAGGGGAGTAGCAAAGGAAGAGTAACTAGCTAGATGTGAATAGTAATTTAATTCTCCCTTCTGGCTTTAACAGCATATCACAATGCATTCTCTACCTGTGTGGTAAAAAATCTGTGGGCTGTGACTGAGATCCCGTGAGTGGGTTTTGACAGATAAGCATTTATGACCTTGGAAAGTTTACAGAACCTCTCTGTATCTCTACTTCCTGGTAAAATTAATTATTTCATGCAAAACATTTATTGAATTCTGTTTTGCTTTGTAGCAAGTCTTAATCTAAAAGCTGGAGATGAAGCACATGAAATAGACAAGACCTCTGCTCTCCTTGAGCTTCTTGTCTACAGACAAATAAGCAAAACACAATTTCATCAGACAGGGTAGCAAATAGGGAGTAAATGCTTTGTTGTTGTGTTTGTTGTTTTGAGATGCAGTCTCACTCTTGTCACCCTGGCTGGAGTGCAGTGGTACAATCTTGGCTCACTGCAACCTCTGCCTCCCAGGTTCAAGCAATTCTTCTGCCTCAACCTCCCAAGTAGCTGGGATTACAGGCACCCACCACCATTCCTGGCTAATTTTTGTATTTTTAGTAGAGACGGGATTTCACCATGTTGGCCAGGCTGGTCTTGAACTCCTGACCTCAGGTGATCTGCCCGCCTCGGCCTCCCAAAGTGCTGGGATTACAGGTAAATACTTTTTAAATAAGGGACCAATTAAGGGTTTGAAGAGGAAACTGGAAAGACAAAAAAGTGTCAGTATTGAGATCTGAGCAGAGAGGATAAACTAGTGAAGTCAAGTGTCTAGACAGAAGGAAGGAGAGGGTGACAGAAAATCAGGGTGACAGGAGCACAGGAACTGTGGGGGGAAGTGGTATAACAGTTCAGAAATGTGGGAAGGGTCAAATCAGTTAGAGATTGGCAAGTTGGTTCGGATTTTAAGAATTCTAGGAAGTCTTTGGTTATAAATTGGGGAGTGTGACATGAGCTGATTTATATTTTGAAAAGCTCACTCTTGCAGCTATGTAGAGAATGCAAGCAGTTTGGATGCTACTGGAATCTTCCAGGCAGATGATAGTGGAGGCTTGAATTGGGATGATTGAGGTAGACAAAGAAAGAAGAGAGGATTTGGAAGCTATTTCAGGAATAATGCCTACATCATTCTCAGGGAAATGTTAGGAGAATTAAATGAGATAATACCAGTAAAATGCATACAGAAATAGACATTCCATAAATTTAGTTCATTTGCCTTTCCTTTCTCCTGCAACACTCATGAACAATTTCTCTAATCTCAGAACAAACCACACACAGTGAATGTTATATGCACTAACTAGCTCCTGGCTCCCTCCCCTAAGTATGCAAGTCCTCGGGAAAGTTTCTTATGAAATTGTCTCTCCCACACCATCCCTCACACTATTCCCCTTCACCCCCAACATCCATAAGTTGTAAAGGGCTGCAGTAGTAGCAGATCCAGATTCGTAATCTTAATAAAATGCTAAAGCATTTATCTTACATTTAGTCATGGCCTGAAGATGCACTCCAGGCAGTTGCCTCACGATTCTTGGAAGAAATTGAAATGTCAGAGGAAATACGAGATGGCTGTATCGACATGTGTAAAAGCTTCCACACTTCTACTATAGATTTATCCAAATCTTTCTTTGTTGAACTTCAAAGATACAATTATGTGACTCCTACCTCTTACCTCGAATTAATCTCCACCTTCAAACTGTTGTTAGAAAAGAAAAGAAGGTAAAAATCAAATTTCATATTTCTAAGTAAGCTATGGCAATTAAAAATACTTGTGTGTGCAAAAACGACATAATATATAATGGAGATTTATTTCGTAGAAATATACTGTAAGTTTTGTTACATCTTTAAATTATTTAATCCACAGACATTTTGAATTTAGGGAGGGGTCTTATCCTTCTCATATGGGCACATTGCCTAGCACATCATAGATGCATAATAACTCTTGGAAGAATGAAGATATTCCAACCAGAGCTGTGAATATTGAGTAAACACTAGTAGAGAGTGATTTTTCTCTGATAAATAATTGGGTAATAGTTAAACCCTCTCTTTGAATACTGAACAGCTGAGACTCTAGGGAGGGACAGCCACTCTCTAATAAACTGTCATTTGAAAACATCAATATAAACATGAGTAAACTTACCTGCTATAGAAAGTGTCAATGTGAGTTTTTTTAATGTTCTGGAGGGTGACTTGTGTGTGCACAGAAGTTTATTCAAATATTTCTTTGGTTCCAAAAATTAAAATTCAGTATGTATATTACAAAATTTAAAAACATTATAACATTAAGGTAGAAAGTAGGAAGTTTGGAACATTTTAGTGGTTACCTTTAAAGGGGACCTTGGATTAATGTGTGGCTCCATTCAAAAGCTTGTTTAAATAAAATTTTTAATACATTATTTATATTTCCCTTTTAAGTTCTGATTTAACAAATCAAACATTACTAGATACTTAAATAATTTATAAGTCTAGTATTTTAAACGTATACATATGGTAAGCCTTAAGTACTTTTAAATGTTTGAATATTATCTATAAATTAATATGATTTTTACTTAAAAGCACAAATGTAAATTTACTGCTCAGACACATGATTTATATTGAAAGCTCAAGCCTGATCCACGAATTGAACAGACCAAATTCTTTTAAAGATTAAAAAGAATACATAAAACAACAAATGTGCACAGATAATATAAAAATATTAATACTATGAGTTTGATTTTTATATATATTTCTATGGTTAATTCTAAATCTTCCTATGGCTAACCCACTATCTCAAGCATTTTGAAGGACCTTTTCTCATATTGGGCAGCATGCTACCTGGATATGGATATGACACTCCTCATCTGTATTCATAGTAACTATTGCTGTGCCCTCCCAACAGGACTGTCATAGTCACTGTGGTCTACAACCCTGTGTTTGAATCATACCTTTAGGAATTTTTCAACTACCTAGTGAAATCGGCAGTGCCCACCGTGACTGCTGCATAGCTTGGCTGGAATTTATTATTTCTTTGGCTCTCAAGATAATTGTCTTTCTGTGTCGAGCTTATGATCTTTAACATAATGGAAACTTGCTTTTTTTCATATTTTCTTATCCAGGAGGATCAAAAGCTCTTGGAGATTGATTAAATTTTGGATATCACTCATGGCTTTTGTTTGACTCTGCACTCACAATAGTAAGGCCACCCTAACAAAAAAAAGGATTATAAAAATGAGAGGCAAACTTATAGGAAGAGTTTAAACTTATTGGTTATAAGTTTTAAAGTTACAAAGTTATAAGTTCAAACTTACAGGTTGAAAGTCATAGTTTTTAAGGTATTTTCAAATATTCTTATTTGCCCTTCAAATTTTCCTTTTTCAAATTTTTTCTTTTCAAAATTCCTTGCAAATGAAAAAAAAAGATATTAAATTATCCTTTACCTCAACTAGAATTCCTATCCTGTGATTATTCTTCCCATAATAGCTAAAGCCTTCAGATCACGACAGCCAGGTAGTGCTGTAACCTAGAAGCAAGTTTTCAGGTTACTTGGAAGGAAATCTATGGTTAAGCTAGCAAAGCGTCACTTGGGATTAGCCACCATATTGAAACTGTCTCAGGCTGGCAGGAATGAGACCTTTCCTATGCTTGTTGCACAAGGTTTCAGCTGAAACCAAACTCACAGATAATACAGGCCATACATTCGGTCCCCTCTGTTCCCATTACTTTCTAATATTTTGCACACTCAGGGAATTTGACATGTGACAAAAATGTAGCATGCTCTCACTTATGAATTTTTTTAAAACAAAAATTATAATCCTTTCAGTGTTCTCCAGGTTACCTTTTCCAGCTCAAGCCAGTTCCTTACTACTCCAGTCTGTTTTTTGAAGGGGATTTTAAAAACATGTCATTTTTTTACTTGGAGACATTATGGTATATCAAGTATTTTAAAATGAAATTATAAAGAAGAGTTTTCTCTATAGAGACATATATATATATTTGCAGATAAATGCAGATTAAATTTTTGACTACATTAAAATATTAAACTTTTAAAATATGCTAAAATATTACATTATTTCTAATCATTTGTTATTACTTTATAATCATTTTGCACCAAACAGGGTATTGAGCTTTATGATCTGCTCTATTTGTTACTTTTTCTTTAATAAAACAAATCTCTTGTTTCAAGATGTATAATACATGTTAAAATCATTTTTTCACATTTGGAAACATTCAAAATAATATATTTTGAGCACTGAAGTGCGTTTAAAATAAGTGATCATAAAAAGGTTTAAAGCAGCAGTAGTGTTGCTGGGATCAACTTACCAACTTTAGAGGTACATCATTCATTTTGATACAGGAGACTCCTTGCCTCATCGCCAGTGTATTTATTCTTTTGAATTTCTGTTGTATGCGTTGATAACATATAGGTACTGAAAACACAAAAATGAATAAAACACGCTGTCTGCTCTTAATTGTGCACAAATCCGACATTCTAGGTTTCATGTTTTGACAGATTGTCATTTATATGAAAATCTTTTAGACCACTCCGTAGTTATGTCTTGAAAAAGCCTAGAAAGCTCAGAAACACTTAAGTTTTTCCTTCATGTAGGATACAGAGCCTCATGATTAACTTTGTTTTATCTATTTCCTTCCAGTGAAGTAATGAAAATGAAAAAGAGATATGAAGTGGGTTTGGAGAAACTGGATTCTGCTTCATCTCAAGTAGCCACAATGCAGATGGAGTTGGAGGCACTACATCCTCAATTAAAAGTTGCTAGCAAAGAGGTTGATGAAATGATGATAATGATTGAGAAAGAGTCTGTAGAAGTTGCCAAAACTGAAAAAATAGTGAAAGCTGATGAAACAATAGCGAATGAACAAGCTATGGCTTCCAAAGCCATCAAAGATGAGTGCGATGCTGACCTGGCAGGTGCCTTGCCAATATTAGAGTCAGCACTGGCCGCCCTTGATACTCTTACTGCACAGGTAAGAGCTTCGCCATACACTTTCTAGGACACATGTCATCATAGCCCAAGAAAGAAATTAGCATTGTGTTCTAGTCTAGTTTGTCTCTCCGAATTAGCCTGAAATTTTAATGAAGCTGAAATCATTTTGAAATTGGCAAAAGAATTCCCTAATTGACTTGAAAAAGAAATGCATGTGCATGCAAAAACACCTTTGAAATGGAAGAAAGCGGCCAGATGTTATAGCCTACCATAAAGCAACAGTTATTTCAAGAACTTCATACATCTTTGCACTGCAGTAATCAACAAAGACATAAGCTTTGAGATTATATTTTGATTCTAAGGGGTACCTTTTTCATATTTAGACACACTTGTCATTGGAATACATCTTATAGAGCATGTGATAAAGTATTAATTTTGCCAGTGATTTTTTTTGGGGGGATACATAAAATAATAATGTGTTTTATAATAATTTATTTTACAATAGCAATGTCTTAGATTTCATGAGGTGTATTAAAAGTTAAGATGTGAAAGGGGAATATTTTAATTTAGAAAGATGAAGATAGATTTTTAAAATAAATAGTGCAGAGAATTTTGGCTAAACTTTTGGGTGGGACTGAGGAGAAAAGTGTAAGTGCAGTTCTATTACTGTCACCATTTCTACCCAGTGAACACAGTGAGTTTCTGTATGCTTAGTTTGAAAATAGGAACCACTTACAATTACTGTATAAACAAACATGTCTTTTAAAATAATTAACGTTGTTATTTCAAGGATATTACAGTGGTAAAATCCATGAAGAGTCCTCCTGCTGGTGTCAAGCTTGTTATGGAAGCTATATGCATCTTGAAAGGAATCAAAGCTGACAAAATCCCTGACCCAACAGGTTCAGGGAAAAAAATTGAGGATTTCTGGGGCCCAGCTAAGAGACTTCTTGGTGACATGAGGTTTCTGCAGTCACTTCATGAATATGACAAGGACAATATTCCTCCAGCTTATATGAATATCATAAGAAAAAATTATATTCCAAATCCAGATTTTGTACCAGAAAAAATCAGAAATGCTTCTACAGCGGCCGAAGGTCTGTGCAAATGGGTCATAGCAATGGATTCATATGATAAGTAAGTGCTGATAAAAAGAAATCCAGCTGGTATGGTCTGTCTTCACTTCTGGTCAGTTAGAAAATATACAATTTAAAAGTTATGTAAGTGAGAGGCTCCTTGGAAAATCCTGTCTGAATTTGCTTTGTGTTTGCATATTTACTGGAGGCAAGATTATGCCAACTAATAGTATAATACAGTGGTTCTTAAACTTTTTGGACTCAGGAACTGTTTATACTCTTAAAAAGTATTGAAGACCCCAATAAAATTTTGTTTATTTACCATATTAGAAATTAAAATGGAAAAATTTTAAAAATGTTTATTAATTCATCTTAAAAAGCAATAAAAATGTTACATGTTAATACAAGTGATTTATTTTTATTTTTTATAAATTTACATGTTTTTCTTTTAAAAATAGAAAAAAATACTGATGAGAAGAGTGGTATTTTATTATACTTTTACAAATCTCTTTAATGTGTGGTTTAATGTGAGATAGCCAGACACCAAAATCTGCTTCTTCATTCATTCTGTTGCAATATGTTGTTTTAATTAAAGTATATTAAAAAAAAATCCACCATCACACAGAGGTTTAGTTGGACGAGGGAAGACCTCGTGAGCTCCCCAAAGGGGCAAGTGTCGTCAGGATCCCCAGGGGTCCTTGGACCACACTTTAAAAACCACTGGCATAATGTATTCTTGTGAAATAAGGAGCCTTTTTTGGTGATTATATGAGAACTAGTTATATCATACGCAAAACAGGGTAATTATTATTTTTTCAAAAAACAACTGTCATAGGATGTTTTTCAAACTCATATCCAATTTTAATCATTCTATATATATAGTAGTGCTATATATGTTTCAGACCATGATATTAGTTAATGATTAATTTAATGTTTGTTAGATAACATGACTGACTCCATTTTCCAGATACTAGGGAGAGAATTTAGATCCATCCTTTTTCCTATATAATTCCTTTTATTACCACATACGTATTTATAGGATAACTGTTTTTGGTTGATGTATTCTAGGATTTTTTTAAGTAAAATGACAAAGATAAAAGATACCTCACTTTCTCATGAAAACTCACCTTTAACCAATTAGGCTTCTAATAACATTGTAATATTCTACATGACTATCCTACTCTCCTTTTGGAAAGTTATCAAAATTCATACTGGCAAAATGTTTTTTGTATATTTGATGTCTATTTTAATAAAAGGCCATTTCTTGTGTCCAGGATCAAGTTTGGATGATTGTTAGATGAAACAGGAAATATGGAAATCGGTTTAGATTTTTGCATAAAGAAGTGTTTTCAGTTATAGTAAGGGTATTAGAAAAGTAAATTCAGTGATAGAAAGTGTACTGGAATATTAAATGAATATTTAATTTTTCAATTTTACTTTTTGCAGAGTGGCAAAAATAGTAGCTCCCAAAAAGATAAAACTGGCTGCAGCTGAAGGGGAGCTTAAAATTGCCATGGATGGTCTTAGAAAGAAGCAGGCAGCCCTTAAGGAAGTTCAGGACAAGCTGGCCAGGCTTCAAGACACACTTGAATTAAATAAACAAAAGAAGGCTGACCTGGAAAACCAGGTGTGTGCTGATATAGAAAAAGATGGACAAATTCTCAGTTATCGTAACTAAGAATGATGTTCGTACTAGCACATAACACACCAGTCCTGTTTCCTTCCTGGTCAGGGATTGGCAAACTATGACCCGCAGGCCACATCTGCCCATCGCCTGTTTTCGTGTGGCCCAAGAGCTAATAATGGTTTTGACATTTTAAAATAATTACATATTAATGGCCATATAAATACCCATGAAATATGTAAATATCCTCAGTTTTGCTGCTTGGCTCACAAAGACTAAAATATTTATTCTCTGGGCCTTTCCAAAAAAAAAAAATGTCAGTCTGTCTGCCTTAGATTACTAGAATATAATATTGAGCTAGATTATTTAATCATTTTTCACTTTGCAAGTAAGGAAATTGAGAACCAAAATGTTAAGTGACGTAGGTTGTATGGCAGAGCTGAAATTAGAACTCAATACTCAGAACCACACAGTATCTACTAAAAATATTTTCAAGACTAAAAATACTACTCTAACTTAATTAGTGATACCATTTGGAAAAATTAACTGCTAAAGTCTGATTATGGGCCAGAAGAAATTCATAATATTTTATAACAGTCAACATTTATTGAATGCTTATTATGTACAAAGGCCGGTTGTTCTAAGAACATTACATATTATACTATTTATTCTCACAATAACCTTTTGAGGGAAGTAATGATTTTGTACCATTTTGAAGAAACTAAAGAACAGAAAGATCAAGCAACTTGTCCATCGTCAACCCAGTTTCTGAGCATCAAGTCTGAGACCTGAACCCAGGCAGCCTGATTCCAATAGCTGTACTCTTTCCAGGACACCAGACTGCCTCTTTCTATAGTAACTATCCTGTATTCTGTATTTGCACAAATGTAAGACATTGTGCTAATCTTTAGAAGTGTAACATATTATGGCATGATTTTTGAATGATCAGTTTTAGTTTAAATAATATAACCAACAAATGGTTATGCAGTTGCTCTCTTTAAACATTTTTCAACTCTCCTATATGTTTGAAAATTTTATTTTTTATGATAAAATATTAGAAAATTATGGTAATATAAAATGAACATATGCATATATGTGTATTACAAATGTGCTTTTGGAGGTAAAATTTTAGCCAAAATATTTTTACTTAGTAGTTTCTGATGGCAACTTTGCCATAGTCCAAGACCTGATTCAGTTTATCATAAACATTGTTGAAAGAAGAATAGGTGAGGAAAGAAACTAGAAAGACAAAAGATATTTAAAGAGGGAACATTAAAAGGGAAAAAAATTAAATTTAGGAAGTATCACAAATACTGCAATTACATACCATTTGCTTTTTTCAAATCTATCTTTAGATAAATTGATACAGAATTATACATCTTTTAATCTAAAATCATTGACTTGATATACATGCTAATAACATTAGTAAAAAGCACAAGCCAAATTCCTATTCCAAAATAACCTAAATGTCTTCGTTTTTGTTGATTGTTGAATTTATCTTTTCATGTAATTATTTTTGAACATCAAGATAAGCTTTATTTAATCTCATCTTCTTCCAAGAATAATGATGTTAAGGTACTTAAAAATTTAATCAAAATAATTCACATATTCTGCTGGAATATTGCTATTGTGTGAACTGAAATAACTTTTCACCAAGTTTGCCACCTTTGTAATTATCTCTCTTTTGTTATCATATTGCTTAATTACATATAATCACATTTGGTTGACAGTCTTATGCACCAAATAGGCTCTCAGCTATTGATTGGTGTCCTAATTTAAGCTGAATTGCAAGTGCCTGAGTAGTTTGACACAATTTAACAACCTGAAAATTGTGCTTTGTAAATAATCATAAATTATTAAAACCTTTAAACACTTAACCTTTAAGGCCATGATATAAGTTAAATGAGGGGAAAATGTTTGTAGAATATTTAAAACAAAATGCATCTAGATTATTTAAAATGGAGGGAAAATATCTATATTTGCAGAAGAATGTCCTTTATTAATTAACTTTCAGTGTCTTGTACTGTATGTCATTTCCTAAATACAGCTGTTCTTTGTATTATATGGTAAATATTCATTCATTATTAATTTCATGAATTATATTAGACACTTTATATTTACAAATTCTAAAATATCATGGACTTTCCTATATCATAGTGATATAGGAAATCCCAGGCAGAAGTCTGTCATTAAAAATAATAATTCACTTCTGAGGGTAAAATCTTGCAGAATTTTAAACTTCTTATACTTGTAAATGTTGATAAAAGCTCACTTTTATTTTCGAGGTTGACCTTTGCAGCAAAAAACTAGAACGAGCTGAACAGTTGATTGGAGGCCTTGGAGGTGAGAAAACTCGATGGAGCCACACAGCTCTGGAGCTAGGTCAGCTGTACATCAACTTGACTGGGGATATCCTCATTTCCTCCGGAGTGGTTGCTTACCTCGGAGCCTTCACATCCACCTATAGACAGGTAAGGGACACTATTCCATCTCTTCCTGACCCTCTGCCCATCACAGCCAATATAACCCTTCAAGGTTTTGTTTTACTTTGGTTTCAGTTTTTTGTTAAGTACAAGGAGGAAGGTATTTTTGCATGATTTCTGCTTGTGTATTTTAATTATTCTGTAAATTAGCTGGTTAGCCAAAAGATGCATATAATATACTCTTCAAAAATCTAATTGTTTTAAAAACAAAAATATCTACTTTAAAATGTAATGTGAAAATGGGGAGTCTCTGAACCTATTCTAGTTTGGGGCTGCCTGATTAAAAATAAAATTTTTTTTAAAAAGTAATGGGAAAATGGTAGCCTCTACTGATAACATCTCAGTTCCTAAGCAAGTACTGTAAAAAGGTATCAGAACTCTGTCTCTCTCTCTCTCTCTCTCTCTCTCTCTCTCTGTGTGTGTGTGTGTGTGTGTGTGTACTTCATCAGCTGTTTCCTATCAGTCTCAATAACAAGCCATTTCAAAATCATTTCAGGGAATGAAACTTGAAGGGAGGAAAAGGTGAGCCTGCCTAAAACCCTGTTGATAAGTGGCTTTGTTCCTTAGAAAACAAACCCCACGTTCCCTGCCTTGCCTCCCACCTCTCTGACTGATTCTGCCTCTTTCTTCTCCCTGGCGGAACATCTAACCCTAGGAGTTAATCCTAATTATTCTTCCTGCCTTTCTCTTCCACTTTTTAGTTTTTACTGAATGAGAGACCCAACATACTATTCAGCTCTTTTTAGAAAAATGGAACTGGAATCCAACCTGGGTCATGGCCCTATCAAAGCAGGCAAAGAGATTTAGAAAAATTAAGATAACTAAAAGAAAAAATGGGAGGGATGATAATGAGAATAAAAGAAGGGAGGAATTCAGAACATTTGGCAATAGTTTTTGGTGTCAAATGAGAAAGAGTACATGTTACATCCCCTTTGTATAGGGCTTTATAATTTCACTGAGCATTGGCTTACACGTGGTCTCAATTGAGCCTCATTTAATTTCAGAACTATCTCCTAAGGAGGGTTGACTCTTGGTGGTGGTGTTTTTCTTTTTTTGTTTGTTTGTTTGTTTTTGAGAAGGAGCCTCCCTCTGTCGCCCAGACTGGAGTGCAGTGGTGCGATCTCGGCTCTCTGCAAGCTCCACCTCCTGGGTTCACGCGATTCTCCTGCCTCAGCCTCCCAAGTAGCTGGGACTACAGGTGCCCGCCACCACGCCTGGCTAATTTTTTGTATTTTTAGTAGAGACGGGGTTTCACCATGTTAGCCAGGATGGTCTCAATCTCCTGACCTTATGATCTGCCCACCTTGCCCTCCCAAAGTGCCGGGATTACAGGCGTGAGCCACCGTGCCCTGCCAGTGGTGTTGTTTTTAACTAAATGTTTAAAATCCTCACCTAGTGGGTGCTTCTGTCTTTAGCACTCAGTGGTTACCTGCATCCTAATTTAGCACTCTTCCTACTCTCCTACATTGACATTTTGAACAATAAAAGGAGTAGCTTCAGCCACCCTTACCTTTCCCTGCTGGTTCAGAGCACATCACTAGGTGTCTGCACTGGCTCCTGTCTAGCATTCCAGAGCTCAGCAGAAAGTGTATTAGCACTACCCAGTGCACTAGCAGAATCCACTTTACCCAGTGCTTGGAGAGCTAGATGTACCATCCTCCCAACCAGGCCCTCTCTGACAGACTCAGTCCAAGGGACTGCCTCTTCTGACTTTGCCATCATCACCTAGCTACTATCAGAATGGGGGGCTGCTAGTCAGACCACCACACAAATGCTTCAAGGGTGCCTTAAGCATGTGAACTGAGACTTGGAAATTTACTGACAGACACAAAGCCACATTCAACTTAGACACAAGACATGCCAAAGCTCAGAGTGCCTTCTGTGAACTCATTCACTGTCTGAACCCTTGATTCAAGTAGTCACTTCATCCCATGCCACCTCATCTCTGTGAAGGCTTGAAGGCAATTTTATTCCTTCCTTGCTTCGCTAGATCAACCTGAATTTTTACTTTCCTTAACAAATCTCTCATGTCACTCTCATGTCACAGGAAGGAATTCCTGTGGATTAATTCTGAGTCCCACTTTGTCATCTTCACTCTTTTATCTGTTTCTCTCAGGTCAAAACAGCGAGCAGTTTATTTCCCATCAAAACTGTCTCATTCAATTCTCAGCGTAAGGGTTGGATGGCAAACATCAGGGCTCTGACCAGAGCCCTTCCTGGCTTCTGTGTGCTTTCACACCCAACGACTAGCACCTGTGGCTCTTTCTGTCAGACTTCCCTTGGGTTCCTAGAACCCACTTTACCCAGTGTTTGGAGAGCAAGAAGTGCCTGGGAATGTACTTCCCTCTTGAGCAGTCCTTAATGAATAATTGAAGGGAGCATGGGAGTCTCTCTCCCTTCCCCCTGGTTGGGACAGCTCCAAGGAATAGCTTACACTATGGAGGCTCCCTGTGGCATCTAACGAGGCCACCTGCTGCAGAACTTAGGCTGGTCCCTCACCCTTTATTGGCTTCTACTCCTCCTTGTCCTGCTTCCCCCTGCATCCTTTCCTCAGCATGTCCCCTCACATGAATCTTCATCCCACAGTCTGCTTCAGGGAACCCAAACTAAGAGACCTTACAACATTTGGTGCTTTTCTGACATCAAAGGGTTTCAAGTCTCTGGATATCAAGGGCCCTCAATAAATAGCTGCATTTCCCCTCCAAGCTTGAATCTGAGTAGTCGTCAATTATTTATCAACTCTTTTATAGATTCCTGGCACTTTTCATAAATAAAACATAGGAAAATCCAATTCTTCCAGGGTAACTGGGCCCACAGCTCTCAACTGCAATGCCTGTGCCATTTTCCAAAACAGAATCCTACAGTGCTATTATGAATATACAAGCCCTGGATTTGAATTAATTTGAACCTTCTAATTGACCTTTATCTGCCAATAACCAAAGTAGAAACTGTTTTAATGGTGTTGGGTATTTTCACCAAGATGACACTCTTAATGGCCAGTTTTCCACTTCTACCATCTCTCTCTCTCTCCCCTTTTTTTTTTTTCATGACCTTATGCCAGCAAATCCACCATCTAGCTCATCACCTGATTACCAGCCAAGGCCATTGGCTTGAATTTTGAGATGCTTGTTCGGAGTCCTCCATGCTCATTTTGGTTATTCTCTGATATTACACCCTTATAGACATGTAATTAGGCCTCTTAAATTGCTAATCCAGAGTTCATCTGTGGTAACATACTATACCTGTCAACTCTAAGCTGAGCATTCTGCAGAAACTATTGCTTCTATTTTCTCTACTTCTTCCCTATGTCATAGGCTAGCATGCCTACTCCAGCTTCAAGCTAGATCCAAGAAAGCTTGCAGACCTCTCCAAAATGTCTGTAGGCCAACCTACAGCCTGAAAACAAATGGAACAAAACATGCCAGTAGTGCTGGGTGAGGTGGCTCACACCCGTAATCCCAGAATGTTGGGAGGCTGAGGTGTGCCGATTGCTTGAGCTCAGGAGTTTGAGACCAGCCTAGGGAACATAGTACAACCCTGTCTCTACAAAAAATACAAAAAATTATCCGGGCATGGTGGTGTGTGCCTGTAGTCCCAGTCCTGCTTGGAGGCTGAGGTGGGTGGATTGCTTGAGCCCAGGAGGCAGAGGTTGCAGTGAGCAAGATCATGCCACTGCACTCCAGCCTGGGTGACAGAGTTAAGATTCCGTCTCAAAAAAATAATAATTAAAAAATTAAAAATAAAACATGCCAGAAGCAACTGTGTATAGAAGTCAAACTGGAAATGCTATCTGTCCCTCCTCCCTACGTAGCAATACCATCTGTTCCTCATATCAACAACCAAATAAAACAAAATAGCCAGATGATATTTATTAAGTACTTATGCTAGGGAGAATTTTGGCCCCTATGATCTTCACCTCCAAGTGTTGTATCTGTAACTATGCCACGTTACATGGCAAAGGGACTTTGCAGATGGAATTATGGTTGCTAGTCAACTGAGCTTAAAGTAGGAAGATTATCTTTGGCTATCTTGGACTTCACTGTAAGATAAAGCTGAAATGTCTTTTTTGAGCAAGAGTAAGGAAGTACCCAGAGAAAGATGGGGCCATGTCAAAAGGACACAGAATTTAGCTTAAGGGTATTCCCACTGGCCAAACTTGGACAATTTCAGCATCGCAATAAATAGTGACAGTAACATAACTCATTGGATAAAATATGAAAAAGATGAATCTATGCTGACATAAATTAGTAATAAAAAAATTGAATGTTTGAAAAAAACAGGACATTTTCATGGTTACAAAGTATCTCCCCGCAGAATGCTTATTACCTGCAAAGGGAATGGGGAAAAGAGCAATTTAACAGTGGGGAAGTTATAATATAATATTTCACAAGTGCTGTCTTAACCATTTTAAATAACAGTTAAAAACGCAGAATTCTTTCTTGTAAGTAGTTTGCTAAGCCCTCACCCCAACCATTTTCTTTACTAGGCTGGAACACTCCCGGGTTACAATAGATAGCTTCCAGAGGCCCCCAGATACCAGGGACAGCCCCTTCTTCCTTGCAACCACAGAATGATTCAAAATACCCAACCCCCAGGAAACATGTGAAACCCAGCTAATTCCATCCCATTTACCATATATAAACTGCCTCCCACAGCTCTAGCTTGATGCTACACTGTCTCCTGACAACACCTGTGTGGCCCTGTGTGCAGCCTTCTCCATTTGGAGCTATAACTAACAGAGTTCTGCCTTTCATTTATCTGAGTGTCTTTGCGTTGCATCCCACCATCTGAAGAATCTATAATCACACATAAGCTCATATAATTATGACACAGAAGCCTGGCAGACAACACTTTAATCAAGTGATAAAAATTAGTGTCATCAGTAAATGAACATCAAAGTGTCATCAGAAATGAAATTGTGTGCCATCTGATGGATGCAATGAGAAGAGCACATGATTTCTGTGACATTTCTGCCAAAGATGCATAACCTGGCATGGTGCCAGGAATCATGATGGAACACCATACAGACCCAGTTGTGGGGCTTCTGCATAATGTTAACAGGCTTATCAAGGTCATGAATGTCATCAATTCCCCCAAAACTGTGATGCCCTTTCTTGTGCAAACCTCAAGGAATGTTGGTCCAGCCTACTCAGCAGGAGCCTGAGGGAGATGGCAGTGCCCAGCGTGGCCTCTCAGCCAGCGCCACCTGTGAGCACCCAGCACCCTCATCAACCCAGAGGCTGGTACCAGCACCATACATATCCACCTTCCCCTTGCCTTCGTCTAACTCCTTTCTCTCCAGTTATGTCTTTCACTATTTCTGAAATCTTTTATCTGTAAACTCAACTTGGATACTGACTTCTGACTTTCTGAACACGAACCTTGGCTTGTAGTACCGCCCGGGTTCCTGAGCATCCTACAGACTGTCCCCCAGGTAGAGTCTCACAAACTGCATTATGTGCCCTGATCCTTATTGGCACTGAAATGCCCTGCCGTAGCCACTCGCAGGGCATGTGAGTCAGAAGTAAAAGTTTTCCGTCTCTCCTACTGGTTCAAAATGGATTTACTTTTCTACTATAATATTGTATGTGCTAGATATTTGTAACATAAAGAAAATACTTGGAAAAATGTGGTGGTCCCAACTACTTTGTAAATTGAATCTTTGTTTTTTTTGTTTTTTTTTTAACTTTTAGGTTCAGGGGTACATGTGCAGGTTTTTTACATAACCAAATTGTGTGTCAACAGGGTTCGGTGTACAGATTATGTCATCACCCAGGTAATAAGCATAGTATCTAGTAGGTAGTTTTTCAGTCTTCACCCTCCTCCCACCCTCCACCCTCAAGTAGGCCCCAGTGTCTATTGCTCCCTTCTTTGTGTCTATGCCTTGTCATCATTTAGCTCCCACTTATAAGTGAGAACATGCAGTGTTTGGTTTCCTTTTCCTGCATTAGTTTGCTTAGGTTAATGGCCTCTAGTTCCATCCATGTTGCTGCAGAGGACATGATCTTACTCTTTTTTATGGCTGCATAGTATTCCATGGTGTATATGTACCATTTGAGTTGATTCTATGTCTTTGCTATTGTGAATAGTGCTGCGATGAACATACACATGTGTGTTAGGATTCTCTAGAGGGACAAAACTAGTAGGATATATATATATCTGTTTATATATATAAGTATATATCTGATATATATATAAGATATATATATATCCGATATCCCACCATCTGAAGAATCAGATATATATATATCAGATATATATATATATATATGGGAGTTTATAAAGTAGTATTAACTACTAGAGGGACAGAACTAATAGGATTCTCTAAAAGGGCAGAACTGATAGGATACACACACACACACACACACACACACACACACATATATGGGAGTTTATTACGTAGTATTAACTCACAGGATCACAAGGTCCCACAATAGGCCATCTGCAAGCTGAGGAGCAAGAAAGCCAGTCTGAGTTCCAAAGCTGAAGAACTTGGAGTCTTCACATTTGAAGGCAGGAAGCATCCAGCATGGGAGAAAGATGTAGGCTGAAAGGCTAAGCCAGTCTAGCCTTTTCACGTTTTTCTGCCTGCTTTATATCCTGGCTGTGTTGTCAGCAGATTAGATGGTGCCTACCCAGATTAAGGGTGGGTCTGCCTTTCCCAGCTGACTGACTCAAATGTTAATCTCCTTTGACAACACCCTCAGAGACACACCCAGGATCAATACTTTGCATCCTTCAATCCAATCAAGTTGACATTCAGTATTAACCATCACAGTATGCATGTGTCTTTATGGTAGGACAATTTATATTTCTTTGGGCATATACACAGTAATGGGGTTGCTGAGTTGAATAATAGTTCTAGGTTCTTTGAGAAATCACTACACTGCTCTGCCCAATGGCTGAACTAATTTACATTCCCACCAGCTGTGTATAAGCAGTCCCATTTCTCTGTGACCTCGCCAGCATCTGTTGTTTTTTCACTTTTAACAAAAGCCATTCTGATTGGTGCGAGATGGTATCTCATTGTGGTTTGGATTTGTATTTCTCTAATGACTAGCGATGTTGAGCATTTTTTCATATCCTTGTGGCTGCGTGTATGTCTTCTGTTGAGAAGTATCTGTTCATGTTCTTTGCCTACTTTTTAAAGGGGTGAGTTGTTTTTTGCTTGTTAATTTGTTTACGTTCCTTATGGATTCTAGATATATTGACCTTTGTCAGATGCATAGTTTGCAAATGTTTCTCCCCATTGTGTAGGTTGTCTATTTACTCTGCTGATAGTTTATTTTGCTGTGAATAAGCTCTTTAGTTTAATTAGGTCCCACTTGTCAATTTTCGTTTTTGTTGCAATTGTTTTTGGCATCCTTGCCATTTAATCTTGGCCAGGGCCTATGTCTAGAATGGTATTTCCTAGGTTTTCTTCTAAGGTTTTATAGTTTTAGGTTTTACATTTACGTCTTTAATTCATCTTGAGTTGATTTTTGTATATGGCGTAACGAATGGGTCCAATTTCAGTCTTCTGCATATGGCTAGCCAGTTACCCTAGCACCATTTATTGAATAGGGAGTCCTTTCTCCATTGCTTATTTTTGTCAACTGTGTCAAAGATCAGATGCTTGTAGGTGTACAGCTTTATTTCTGTGCTCTCTATTCTGTTCCATTCATCTATGTTTTTGCACCAGTATCATGCTGTTTTGGTTATTGGAGCCTTGTAGTATAGTTCAAAGTCAGATAATGTGATGCCTCTGGCTTTGTTCTTTTTGCTAAGGATAGCTTTGGCTATTCGGGCTCTTTATTGGTTCCATATGAATTTTAGAATACTTTTTCCAAATTCTGTGAAAAATGTCATTGGTAGTTTGATAGGAGTAGCCTTGAAAATGAAGCTTTATAATAACAATTGGTAATTATTTTTTCCAGATACAAAATTCTGACTTAAGTGCTTAATCTAGACTTTTATCTCAACATTGAATATGTTGAGTACATAGCTGACCTTCTCAATTAAAATTTTATTTGAAATAAGAATCTGAGAAACAGAAATCATTTTTGAGGTAGAGTTTCCACAATGGTTTGTTGACTCAATGAATACAGTATAAATTGAGGAATTATAAAGCATGCTTTTGATAACCTCCAGTCTCATTTCTTTATCTTTCTGTGGATGTTCTAAAGAATCAAACTAAAGAGTGGACAACTTTGTGCAAAGGAAGAGATATCCCCTGCTCAGATGATTGCTCTCTTATGGGTACCCTGGGAGAAGCTGTGACAATTCGAACTTGGAATATTGCTGGATTACCTTCTGACTCATTTTCCATTGATAATGGGATAATCATAATGTAAGAAAAATATTTTTCTCACAAATGGTCTTTATTAAATAACAGTAGATTTATCTGTGTTCCTTTAACAATTTTAGGTAGCAAACTTTTACAGTATTAAAAAATTACTTAACTAATTAGTGAAATTAAGTATGAGTAATCACTTCCTTCTCTTATTAATATTATAATAGTTGAGTATTAGACACTGTAGTAAACAAATGAACCAGATGACTTGTACTTAATTTTTTTAAATTAATTTTTAGCAAATAGAGCAAAACCCTGCCTTAAGTAAGGGAAGTCCAAAATTTTCATTTCCATAAAATACAGGGTTTTGTTATTAGAGGTTAATGAAATGTGCATTAGTGTGTCATTGGTGGTGATTGGGCAGGGTGTTCCAAATTCCGTCTTAGTCCCTAGTGTGGGACTGTTTTAAATTAGATGGATGTATTTCTGGGTCCTACACTGATAGGGAATAGTAGCCATTATACCTGTAGTTTCCTGGTTAGTAGAGAAAACCTGTGTAGTCTGGGCTGGGAGAATATTAAAGGCTTGTCTGCCTTACCCTCTCCTCCAGGTCTCACCTCCCAGAAACCAAGGACTTCAGCCTGTCACAGTGTGAGGACAATCTTGTATTATTTCCAAGTTCACATTACCGTGAGCCTTTTATCACTCGGCCAGTTTTCTCAGAGTTTTAGCATGTTAACGATAGCACAGATATTTCCTACTATCAGTAGGAAATGCTCTGTGTTACATGACTATTTTGACTAATTGTTAGGTTACTATGAAAAAGTAATTGATATGATGGTACTTTTTAAAGTAAAAATGTTTGAGGCATGGAAACTTTTAAAATAGAAGTAAACACTAAATGTGGAGACTAGTTATTCCTAAATTTTATGTATATGGTTTTTGGGTTTTTTGTTTTTTTTTGAGACGGAGTCTCACTCCGTTGCCCAGGCTGGAGTGCAGTGGTGCGATCTTGGCTCACTGCAAGCTCCGCCTCCCAGGTTCATGACATTTTCCTGCCTCAGCCTCCCGAGTAGCTGGGACTACAGGCACCTGCCACCACGCCCGGCTAATTTTTTGTATTTTTAGTAGAGATGGGGTTTCACCGTGTTAGGCAGGATGGTCTCGATCTCCTGACCTTGTGATGTGCCCGCCTCAGCCTCCCAAAATGCTGGGATTACAGGCCTAAACCACTGCGCCTGGCCTCTACATAGTATTTATGAAAATCATTTTACAAATTAAAACTCTGGTGAACACATTTATTTTCCAATAAATTATCCTGACATATGGATTTCTTTAGCATTCATTTACTAAATTGTTCTACAAGAATTTGAGGTATGTGCAGTATGATTATAGTATAAAACAAGATAAAATCTGATGAGACCACCTAGGGTAAGTTAAAGGAGTAGTTACTGTTAGAATTTGAGACAAGCTAATTCCTATAGCTGGGCCCTGAATTAAGTTTGACGCTTTCTGATAACTAAGACAAAAATAAAAAGTTGTATCACATAGTTTTTGTTTTTTAACCAAGTAAACTGTAGTTAAAGAGACCAACTTTTTCAGGAGCTAAAGTTAAATTTAATTATTTTATTTATTTAGAGAAAAAATCACTAAGCTTTACTTTGGGGAACTAAAATACTGGGTACTCTGATCCAATAATCTAAATTAATCCAAGGAGAAAATAGATAATCTAAAATCAATGATAAATATGTGCATTAGCTGGCTGCTAAAATAAAGATTTTAGCAGATTTTTAAGCGCCTTTTACAAAGCACAGAAGGGCAGCTCGTTGTTGAATTACTTAACATGTGGCATGCAGGCAGTGTGTGTTGATGTTTAGTGTTAGAATATACCTTACAGATTGACACAGGTGGGAGATCTCTGAAATTTTGGAAGTCTAACTTTTACTTTCACTTTTGTCTAGCTGGACCAATTAACTACAGCATGAAAATAGTCAAATATTTGCTGCTTTTGTTATTGTTTTTATCTCAGAAAAGAGCTTTGGCTCTTCTCAAGCTCTTGTGAACGTAGCTGGTCATGTCCTACATATTAGTAGTTACTGAAGTGGTAGTCATTGTCTTGATTTGCAATTTATATATCATGGTTCTGCCTAGCAGGACATCTATAACCACTGTATCCACCATCAGAGGCCAAATTGCATCTTGTTTTCTAGCAAATAAACATACCCTTATTTTGGGGTCTAGTCATATTTCAAAAATAATAGAACTGTTGATGGATATATCTGCATATAAGATTCTAAACCATTCAGTGATTATTTTTCAAGACAGCACACTCACATTTTGGGAGGGATGGAGACAGAAAATTATGTTAATGAGTCATAACCCCTACATCTTTACTATTCATTTGTAGAAATGTTGAAATATTAGCAGAAAGTTGTGGTAGCAACTATACTAAGAAGAAAATATTAACAATTTTCATTCTTGGCTTCTTTTCCCAATATATTTTGGTAATCTTATACTGAAAGCTTTCAGTAAATATGTTTAAAGTGATCACTTTGAAGTATCAGCTAAGTATCTTCTTTACCTGTGCAGTGCCCTCTTCCATTCCCCAGAAACTCTTGCTTGACAACGATAGTATCTAATATTGAGCACTCACAGAGGACCTAATCCTGTGCTAAGTGCTTTTCACATATTATCTTAGCTGAGTGAGGAGACGATTATTTAGGAAAACTGGAAGAATCTATAAAATTTGGGCAAGTTAGAATATAATTAACTTTTGGGGCTGTTGACTCCTAAAGGTCCCTGGCTAATTAGAATTTCAAAGATTAGTGATAACATTAAATGTAATTAGATTGTATCTGAACATTTCACGGGTAAAGGATTAGGATTATTTAACAGCTTGGTAAGTAGATCAGACCTGTATCTGATATAACTCTGCTTTTTAAAAAAGTAAATTTTCATTTCCATAGAAGAGAGATATATTAGGTTTAATTCAGTAGCAATAATAACTGAGAAGAATAACACCTTTCCTTGTCTGTTTTTATGAATTTATGTGTGTGTAAAAACGAAAATATCAAAACTCTGAAATGTATTGCTGCTTCATATTCAAAATCTGTGGTCTGTGCAACTGCTGTGAACATGTATTTTCACTGTTAGAAGTCCATGTTTTCAAAAAGCCCACAAAAGCACCAAATAACAATCCTCTCTAGACAGTAACAAAAGAATACACACTGTCAAAACTTGGAACATTGAGTGCTATAAAAATTCAATTTCCATTTGGGAACCACTGATTTTAAAGCCTTTGTAGATTCAAGAATGTTTGATGGAGGAAGTAAAAGAGAGAAAGATTATGTGGAGAAAAACATTTTCTTGTTAAAAAAAAAATACAAAATAATAATGGAGAAGAAGTAAGCAAGTAAATGTAGTGCTTGTTCGTTTTGAATTCAGAATTTGTATTCATCCAAAGACTGAAGTTATTTAAATCAGTTTGTTGCATACAGCTTTCCACAATTGTTGGTATATTTGTTAAACTAGTATTTTCTTTTTTATCTACATTGAAGATTATCTCCTTTAAAATTTTATTCATCTAATATGTTATTCTATGGAAGCCCAAATCTTTAAAATTGAATATAAGCTGAAGTCACAAACATCCTGTCTTTGGATAAAAAAGATGTTACATTAAGACTGTTGTCTGGGAAAAATAAGTTTGATATAGTTATTAACTGGATATGGAACAACAAAAGATTTGTTTGTGTATAATTGCACACATCCATATATGGGGAAAGAGGGTTGGGGGTGAGGGGAGAGAGGAGAGAGAGAGACAGAGAGAGAGAAAGAGAAAGAGAGAGAAAATATACAATTGTTCCAGCATAATTTGTTGAAAATATTATCCTTTTTAAAATCGGATTGCCTTTACGTCTTTGTTGAAAATCATTGGTTCACATGCATGTGGGTTTGTTGCTGAGTTCTCTGTTCCATTTACCTATTTGTCTTGATGTAAATACCATATTTCTTTGATTATTGAAGCATATTAAGTCTCAAAGTCAGGTATTATATCTTTCACATTTGTTCTTCTTTTTCAAAATTGTTTTGTCTACTTGTAACTCTACATATAAATTTTAGAATCAATTTTTAAATGACTACACAAAATCTTCCTGGGATTTGTATTGGTACTAATTGAATCTAAGATCAATTTGAGAAGAATTGACAACTTAGTATATATTTCTACTATATGAACACAGTGTATTTCTTTGTGTACTTAGGCCTCCTTTGATTTCTTTCATCAGTGTTTTGTGGTTAGATTTATACCCAGTATTTCTTTTATTTCTGTGTGGTACTTAAAAGATTGTGTTCAACTATTCATTAGGAAAGCAGTTTATTTTTGAATATTGACTTTTTACCCTGTAGCTTTAATAAACTCATTTATTAGTTCTGGGATCTTTTATGTAGATATATTGGAATATTTTATATGTAGACAATCATGCTGTTTGCAATTAGTGACAGTTTAACTTACTACTTTCTAATCTGTATGCCTTTTATTTCTTTTTCTTAGCTTATTGCACTGACAAGGGCTTCTAGTATAATGATGAACAGGGTTGATGAAATCAGACACTGTTGCCTTTTACCTGATCTTAGAGAGAATCAGTTTTTTACTATCACATGTGGTATTAGCTGTAGGTTTTTTTACCTCCTTTGTATCATGTGAAAGAGACTCCCTTCTATTCCTAGTTTGCTGATGGTTTTTAACATTAATGGATGTTAAATTTTGTGAAATGTTTTTTCTGCGTCTATTGAGTTGATCCTACAGTTTTTTTATGTTTAGTCTGTTAAAATGGTAATTGTACCGATTGATTTTTGAATGTTGAACTAGCCTTGCATTTCCAGATTAAACTCTACTTGGTCATAATGTATTCTCTTATTTATATATTTTTGGATTCGATTTGCTAATGTGCTTTGAAGAGTTTTGCATTTATGTTCATGAGGAATATTGATCTGTGTTTTATTTTGTTGTAATGTCTGTATGGTTTTGCTTTCAGAGTAATGCTGGCCTCCTAAAAGGAATTGGGAAGTCTTCTCTCCTATTTTGTGGAAGAGATCATGTAGAATTAGAATTATTTCTTTCTTAAATGTTTCATAGAAATGACCAAAGAAATTATCTGTGCCTGGAATTTTTTTGTCATTGAAAGATTTTATCCATGAATTCAATTTTTGAAATAGTAACAGGTCTATCCAGGTGATCTATTTCTTCCTAAGTGAGTTTTGGCAGTTTCTGTCTTTTCAGAAATTGCTCAGTTTCATCTAAGCTGTTAAATGTATGACCAGAGAGTTGTTTATAGTATTTCCTTAATATTTATTTAATGTCTGTAGGGTCTGTAATGATAATCTCACCTATCACTTCTGATTTGATAATTTGTGTATTCTTTCTATTTTCTTGGTCAATCTGGCTAGAGTTTGATAAATTTTGTTGATCCTATATAGGAACAAGCCTTTGGTTGCATTGTTTTTCTCCATTCTTTTTTTGTTTTCAATAATACTGATTTCTTCCCTAATATTTATTATTTCTTTGCTTCTGTTTGCTTTAGGCATAAATTACTTTTATGTCTCTGGTTTCCTAAGGTGGAAGGTTATTGATTCTAGATTTCTCCTTTCTAATCCATGGACTTAATGCTATATGTTTCACATTAAGTATTGCTTTAGCTACATAGCACAAATTTTGATGTTTTATTTTAATTTTAATTTCCTTTAAAGAATTTTCTAATTTTTTTTGAAATTTCCTCTTTGATTCATGGATTTTTCAGAAATATATTTTTTTAATTTCCAAATACTTGGAGACTTTTAGGGTATTTTTTTGTTACTGTTTTTAATTTCAAATTTATTTGTTATTTTCAGACTATCATTGTATGATTCCAGTTGTTTAAAATTTTTTAAGGTTTGTTTTATAGCATAAAACTTGTCTATATTTTTAATGTTCCATGTGCACTTGGAAAAAATATCCTGCTATTATTGAGTGAATGGCATTTTGAAAGTTGGTTAGGTTGAATTGCTTGATACTGTTGTTCATGGCTTCAATATCCTTGCTAGTTTTCTGTCTACTTGTTCTCTCTTCAGTCTTATCAGTTTTAGCTTTATTTATTTTGGAGCTCTGTTGTTAGAGGCATACACATTAAAGACTATTATGTCTTCTTGATGAATTGACCCTTTTGTTGTTGCATATGTCCCCCTTTATCCTTGATGGTTTTCTTGTTCTGAAGTCTATTTTTTCTAATATACTATCGCCAGTACAGCTTTATTTTGTTTAGTGTTTTCATGGTATATCTTTTACCATCATTTTACTTTTAATATAACTATATTATTATATTTAAAGTGGGTATCTTGTAGACAGCTGACAGTTGGATCGTATAGTTTTATCCAATCTGATAGTGTCTCTCCTTGTTGATCAAATTGGACTATATATATTCATCTATCTTCAGCTTCACTGACTCTTCTGTTATCTCTGTTCTGCTACTGAGTCCATACTATGGGACTTTTAATTTCAGATATTATGTTTTTCAGTTCTAAAATTTCCATTTGGTGCTCATTATCCTTTCTGTTTTTTTTTCTCCTGAGAATGTCTCTATTTATTTCAAAAATGTTCACCTTTGTCTCATGGAGGATGGTTATAATATCTGCTTTAAAGTTTTTTCTGGTAATTTCAAATCTGTCTATTTCTTTGAGAATTAATCACATCCTTATTCTTTGTGTGTTGAGTAATTTTGGATTGCATCCTGGAAATTTTGAATATGAGACTCTAGGTCCTGTCAAAATCCTCTGGATAAGATTGATTTTTTGGTTTAGCAGTCAAATAACTCAGTTAAGTTTAGATCACAATTCTTAGTTCTCCTTCTGTGGGTGATGTTGCAATGTCAGTTCAGATTTGTAAGCCTTCACTATACTGTTTGAATCTACTCCTCGGCATTCATTACTCAGGAGTTAAATGGACTAGGATTTATGATATTGTTTAAAGCCTCTGATATGCTTCTTTAGAAGTGTTCCATGCATGCACAGCTTCAGGTCTTTTCAGAATTTATCCTACCCCTGCCCCACTTTCCATATCCCAGGGGCACCTTTTTTATACTTTTTTAATGGCCAAAATGATGAAGTTCTTTCAGAGTTTTCTCTTCCCTTGCTATTGCACAATTTCATGCCAACACTGGGGGCAAAGTGGTAAGAAAAAAGAAAAATACTTGGATTTCCCTTACATTCTGTGTACAACAGGGGCCTCTTTTTTTACTTCTGTCCAGAGAGACAGGTTTTTGCTCAGTGTTTTGGGTAACTGCACCACTGCTTTTTCTGTCATGATAATACAGTTCTGTGAGTGGGGTTAACCTTGGGGTAGAGATAAAGGAGAATAAAGTAAAAAAAAAGCAAAACATGAAATAAAACATGGATTTATGCCCATGCTCTCTGGCTCACATATGGTCATTTTTTCAGTTACTTATTTTGAGTTATTGCTACCTGTGCCTGCTGCATGGTTCCCCCACTAAGCCAGAAAATAGAAAGAAAGAAGAAACTTAGAAAACTCACTACCCCATTACTGATAATTCCTCAAGTTAGGATTTTTCTCCCATTCACTTGTTATTATTTACTTTTTAGAATCTGTAAGTAGTTGTTTTTTGTATTTTGTTCAACATTTTTAGATGTAATCAGTGAAAGAGATAGGCTGTAAAAAGCCCAGCCCATCTTGGTTAGAATCAGAAGTCCTTTCCTCTGGTTTTGAAATGCTGCTTATTGGACAAGTATTTTCTGTGCAGGGATAATCTCTTAGAGAATTTCAAGCTTTAGAATTATTTAATTTGTATGGTGTTTGCCCCATGACTTTACTGTTTCAATATCAGTAGATTGTCACATGCAACCTTTATTTGATCTAGGAAAAAAAGAATAAAGAATGAGCATGGACCCTTCCTTTAAAGGAATAAACAATTTAGTTGGATGATGCGGCTAAGGAATTATAGAATTACCATAATAGAATATTACCATTACATGCAAATACCATAAATATAACATGGATGAATTGCTAAAGAAGTTCAGAGAGAAAAGAGATGGAGAGAGGCTTTGTGGACTATATAGCTTTTGAGCTGATGTTCAAACATGAGTAGGACTTAAATGGGAAAAGATGGGAGAGAAGTGCATTTTGGACAAATAAACAGGATGAACATAGGTATTGTGGCTAAAAAATGTGGAAGTGATACAAGAGTGAGTAATTCAATTTATTTAGGAAAGCATAAATGCTGTTTAACATTCACACATAATCCTCCAAACTTAAAAATATATTTCTAAAATGTGACATAATGAAAACTTTTTATATATTTATATTTTTATTTCTTTCTAATTTCCCTTCTCTCACTCTCTTTAGAGTGATTTTTCATTAGTTAATTGCATCTAAGATGTTACATTACTCTTTTGATGTCTTTTCTTACATAATTAATGTCATAGACTGAATTATGCTGCCCCACCAAATTTTTATGTTGAAGCCATGACTCCCATGTGACCGTATTTGGAGATAGAGCCTTTCTTTTTTTTTTTTTTAAGACAGGGTCTCACTCTGTCACCCAGGCTGGAGTACAGTGACACAATCCCAGCTCACTGCAAACTCAAGTGATCCTCGCACCTCAGTCTCCCAAGTAGCTGGGACTACAAGTGCCTGCCACCATGCCTGCTAATTGTTTTTTGTAGAGATGGGGTTTTGCTATGCTATCCATGCTGGTCTCGAACTCCTGGGCTTAAGTGATCTGTCCACCTCAGCCTCCCAAAGCACTGGGATTAGAAGCGTAAGCCACCATGCTGGCCCTGAACATAGGTCCTTTAAAGAGGTAACTAAGGTTAAATGAGGTCTTAAGGGGGAGCCCTAATCAAATAGTAATGGTGTCCTTGTAAGAAGAGGGAGCAGCACCAGGAACATCTTGCATGGAGCAGAGGCCATATAGGACACAGCAAGAAGGTACTATCTGCAAGTCAAGGAGAGAGGCTCTGCAAAAACCAAACCTGCTGAAACCTTAGTCTTGGACTTTCAGGGTCCAGAACTGTGAGAAAATAAATTCTGTTGTTTAAGCCACTCAGTCAGTGGTATACTGTTATGGCAGCCAGAGTGACACAAGGATAATGCTCACATTGGAGGATAAGAAAACTATTTTCTTTTTTATCTAAGCTACATTTTTGTTTGTTTTTTTGTTTGTTTTGTTTGAGACAGAGTCTTGCTCTGCCGCCAGGCTGGAGTGCTGTGGTGCAATCTCGGCTCACTGCAACCTCTGGCTCCCTGGTTCAAACAATTCTCCTGCCTCAGCCTCTTGAGTAGCTGGGATTACAGGCATGCACCACCACGCCCAGCTAATTTTTGTATTTTTAGTAGAGACGGAGTTTCACCATGTTGGCCAGGATGGTCTCGATCTCCTGACCCCATGATCCGCCTACCTCGGCCTCCGAAAGTGCTGGGATTACAGGCATGAGCTACCGCACCCGGCCTAAGCTACATGTTTTATACCAGGCTCTAACTAATAACTGATAAAAATATGGTTTTTTTTATTTTGGGGGACAAGTCATCCATTGACGTTCCAATTTCATGTTATAATGAGAGTGAATTTAATATGTTATCCTGTTATATCCCCCTACCTTTTTTTCTTTTCAATTTTTTTTTTTTTTTTTTTGCCTCAGTCACCTTTTATTTTCTCCTCCTGCTCTTCTAATGACCTAAATGAATTGGCTCTGCTCACTTTTGTTTTTTGTGGGTTTTTTTTTACTTAATTTCATTAAAATGTCGTACTTCTCATGCTCTGCTCACTTTTGAAGGGTGTGGCAGTATCTTTAGAAAATTGGCCAGGATTAGAGCTTGTGTTGATTGAAACTTCTAAGAGAAAGAGAAAGAATAGTGATTTTGTTGCCAATTACATTTCACACAAGGTGGAAAGCTATGTGGTTGAATATCATACAGTAATTGCAGATACTGATGAAGTCATCTGTTCACTACACCCTAGAAAATAAACTGGGTTCCTCCTGGGGTATTGCCTTTGTTCTTATCATAAAGCAAATATGTAATGAACTACATATATGACACTAAATACAGAAGTGTTTGAAACAAAGATTGGGTCAACAATTGTGTTAACACTTAAGTGTCCCTGGATATTATGAAGTTCAGATGATATAAAATTATGCTTTTTACCTTTTTGTTAGGCCGTTATTTCTTTAATGGTCTAGATTTTGAGATATAATATTCCAAACCTCTTTCCCTATTATACAAATGACAGCAGGTGGGAACTAAGGAAGCAAAGTGACTTACTCAAGGTCACATGATTCATTAATGGGAGGGCTTAGTGAAGAACTGGAGTTTCCTTATTTCCAACGCAGTCCTCTTGATGGTTGTCACTGTGACATAATTAGCAAGAGCAGCAAATATTTTCAAAAGTGTAATTTAACATTTAGAAAATGTAATTTTCCAAAAAGAGTATAATAACTTGTGCGAACTTTGCAGGATGGTTTCTGTAGTTGCCGTTCAGGTAGCCCACTCAATCTACACGTCTCTGTTTTAAGAACATAGTTTCTCATAAGTTAAAAAGTAAAATATTACAATAAAGGGCAAACTTTTAAAAAGTGACCTGTGATGTGAACATGATTAAGTAGTGTAGAAACAAATCATGGCTTGACCAGCATCGTCTTTCTCCTCCTTTTCAGGAATGCAAGAAGGTGGCCTCTGATGATAGATCCTCAAAGTCAGGCTAATAAATGGATCAAGAACATGGAAAAAGCCAATAGTCTTTATGTGATTAAACTTAGTGAACCTGACTATGTCAGGACTCTGGAAAATTGCATCCAGTTTGGTACTCCTGGTATGTAGTTGAATAACTAAGATACATTACAGAACTGCCTGGAGAGGGCACAATTAACCCAAAACTGTATAGATTGTTTCAAGCGATCCTCCCACCTCAGCCTACCAAGTAGCTGAGACTACAGGCACATGCCCCCACGCTTGGCTAATTTTTGTATTTTTTGTAGAGATGAGGTTTCGCCATGTTGCCTAGGCTGGTCTCAAACTCCTGGGCTCAAGCAAACTGCCTTCCTTGGCCTCCTAAGACAGGTTGGTGAAACCCTGTCTTTACTAAAAATACAGACATTAGCCAGGTGTGCTGGCGGGTGCCTGTAATCCCAGCTACTCAGGAGGCTGAGGCAGGAGAATCGCTTGAACCTGGAGGTGGAGGTTGCAGTGAGCCGAGAGAGTGCCACTACACTCCAGCCTGGGTGGCAGAGCGAGACTCCATCTCAAAAAAATAAAAAATAAAAAGAAGTGGCAGAGAGGAGAGTACAGATTTTATGTGCCTGGTTATTATCTGCCATCTAAAATAAAGAGATTATAAACATGACAAAGATTTTTCAATACAGCTCTTATGTAGATATCACATTTATCAAAACGAAAAACAGAAAACTTGTGATTTGAGTAAATTGGGGTTATTAGTCATGCTTTAAATTCATGTAGCCCATCAAATTTTGACTATTTACATGGCCAAATAAAGGTAAGCCCTTATGAAACTACAATCTATTTAGCTCCAGGACAGTGCAGCAAGTCTCACTTGTTATTAGACCTAATATAATATGGAAGAATCATAATAAATATTCCAGGTAGTCTTACAGACACCTTATTTGTGCACATTAAGAGGGAGTTAGTCTTCAAATATTAATTATAGTTTTAGGCTCTATTAGAATAAGTGTGAAATGAAGACAGTCTAAGTCTACCTATGAAATTTTGTGTTTATGTAATAGACACACAGACACATGCACACGTGTTATTTCATTCATTTAATTGGTGTTCTTAGCATATAGAATGTGATATAGGAGTTACATAGAAAAGGGGAACATGATCTCTACTATTAAATATTTTGCCTGTTTAACAGTAAGATCAGATATATGTGTGTGTGTGCATCACTGTAATAAAATTAGAAAGTGGTTATCACTAATTCTTATTGGGATCAGTGTAGTTAATGGGCAGGGGACTGTCCTTGGATTCAGAGTACTTGCCTCTGTCACTCAGTGTTTGCTTCAGTGACCTTCCTGAGACTCAGTTTCCCCATCTATATTTTAACCATATAGTTTGAGGAAGAAATAAATTACTGTATGTTGGATACTTACAGCGGTGTCTATTGATCAATTTATGTTTTTTGTTGAACATTTACTGTATGATTTATGTGTATCATATTTTAGTATGATATAATAAGAAAGGCACAGATGATGTACTATAGGAATTCAGAGGAACTGGGGAAGACTTCTTGAAGGAACTGGCACCTTAAATACTTTAAGTAGGCTGGACACAGTGGCTCATGCCTGTAATCTCAACACTTTAGGAGGCTGAGACGGGAGGATTACTTGAACCCAGGAGTTTGAGGCTAACTTGGGCAACATGGTGAGACCCATCTTTACAAAAAATACAAAAATTAGCTGGGCATGGTGCTATGTGCCTGTGGTCCCAGCTACTCAGGAGGCTGAGGTGGGAGAATTGCTTAAGCCCAAGATGTCAAGGCTGCAGTGAGCTATGATAACACCACTGCACTCCAACCTGGGCAACACAGTGAGACCCTGTCTCAAAGAAAAAAAAAAAAGAAAGAAAGAAAAAACCAAAAACAGAACCCAAAACATTAAGTAATTAAAATTACTTAGGTTAATTTAAATATTCAAATAATTTCCTTGACATAGTAAAAGACAATTAAATGATAATTGAGCATCTACCATATGCTTGACATTCTGGAGATTTCTGTGATGTCAGTCACAAATCTTGATGTTAGAATTCCATAATTTTAGACACAAAAGGGCCATAGAGATTATCAGTTTAGTGTTTTCCAAAGTATGGGTCATAACCATGGGAGAGATAACCAATTTAGTGGGTCATGACCAATATTTTGTTAATAAGATGCAATAGGAAGGAATAGAACATAGTAGGCTGCAAGGCATAGTATAAAGGTAAGCATCATTTCATGAAATTTTTGTTTAAATTTTATATGCATATATATGTACTTAGTCAATATTTAAAATGTATTTCCTACTTTGAGTTGTGGCCAGAAAAGTTTGAAATCCAGTGGTGATTCCAGCCACTTCATTTTATTAACAAGGTAAGTGAGGTATTAGAGAATGTTAATTAAAAGGCTTAACCAAGGTAGTTAACTACCCCTTAACTATACTGGTCCCAATAAGGGTTAGTGATGGACGTTCCCTTTCTATTTATGTGTATATCATATCACCATACTATATGCTAATTAAGCCAGTTAAGAGGAGTGCTGAAACTAGTCCCTAAGTCTTCTGTCTTTGTCTGGTGCTTACTGTGTTACACAAGCAAGATTTTCTTTCAGTTGATTTAACCTACTTTTTGGAATAAAATACTTTTTAAATGCTAATGATTATTTACAATGCTTTCTAACATTAGTCATCAGAGAAGAGTGAAGTTTTAATCTCTTAATGGAAGGAGAGATAGATGGCAGATTCTAAAGCTATTTCTATATTTAACCATCAAGTAAAAGAATTGGTTACTGTTATACATTTACGACATAAAGACTCTTCCATTTAAGGAGTTATGTTTAGATATTGGCCTCTTCAGAGTCAGTGGCTTTTGATCTATTGTCCCTCACAGGCAGCCTGGGTTGAGCAGGCAGAAGTTTTTGCCTGCGTCAGCTGCCTGCTTCAGCTACCTGCCTCTACTTCAGCCAGAGCAGGTCTCACTTTTCTTTTTTATATTGCAGTTTATGATAAGATCCTCTTTGAAAAGAAGTATTCTGCTGCTTAAAAAAAAGTTTGAAAGCCAATGTTCTAGAAAATAAAGGTACATCTGTATTAGCTATGCCAATGGATAAAGTGTGCATAAAATACTAATCATACAAATATTGCTGATAAATCAATTTGTAGAGAAGATATTTTAATGACTTTCCATTGAATCTATAAAAAAAAAACTTTGTATCAACAGCAGAATTTATCATATCTGAGCCTTCCTTACTTTTCTCATCTCCCAGCACTTTACTTTTCTTTCCCCCTTGTATGTAACAAACCAGGGATACAAAACTACTTCCAATTTAGTGTTTCTTTCATTTGCTCATTTATTTGTCCATTCATTCATTTAATTAACATTTATTTTGCAACTACCATGTACCAGGCAGTGTGGTAGGCACTAAAAACAACATGAATAAGACAGACTCAGTCTTTAGTTTCATGAAGCTTATAGGTTAAAGGGGCAGAAAGAGATTACAGACAAAATGAGGATTTAGAAGATGGGAGTGCAGGGTACTTGGGAGCAGCCAGCACTGAAACAACATGGCATTGTTTCAATCTCTTAGCTTGTTTTTGCTCTTCCATCCATCTGGTGGATTCCTTTAAATTCCATCCTTTAAGATACAGCTCAAATACCTCTTTTTCTGTGACATCTCGACCCCTTCAATGAAGTACCAACACTGAAACTTTCATGAATTTCCATGATTGCCCTTATTTTATGTGCATAACCGTTTGTTTCTCTTCTACAAGCTGCTTAAGGGCACCTGATAGGTGCTGAGTAACTGTTGAGTCTATTTTTGATAAAATATGCTACAGAGTTGAACATAAGTTGTAGAAGAAGATTTTTTTCTATTAATTTGAAGTCTCACATGGGATAATATAGATAATTCATAACTTAAAAACCACATTATTTAATGTCCTACATGCAAGAGAAATTTGAAAAGAACATTTAATTCTCATTATGTTTCTGTTGCTAAGGATAACTGTTTGTTTTGAGTGAGATGATGATCTGCCTTACTCAAAAGTATTAGTGGCTGTGTGCTTGGATTCCTAGTCTTGATTTCCCATAAGCTTTGCAAATACTGTGATGTCTGGTGCTTGAGAATGAGAAATGAGGTTTTAACATAAACCAGCAAATTGTTAATCTTGATGATAGAAACATGAAGAGAAGTCTGTCTCTTGAATTTGCTCCTATTACTTTAACATGGTATATATTTTGATCTAATTAAAAGTTAAAGGAGTCAAAATAAAATAACGAAATTAAAGAGAGCATCCTGGGTAATTCATGTACCTATACATTTTTTCCTTTTTTTAAAATTCAAAATGCTTTAAATTTTTAAAAAATTTAAAATTTTCCGGTGAGACGCATAATATAATAAATATTCAGTACTAAGGATATATTTCTTTGAAATCAAGACACTACAAATATCTTTCCTAACAGGATTAAGACTTGATTCTAGCAATAAGACAATAAATTTTTCAAAATTGGGGGAAAAGAATCAAGTCTGTAATATTTAAGTTTCATAATGTATATTTTAGCTTCAAAAATGATTTTTACATATATTAATATAGACACTCTTAATTACATTTCAAAACTAAGAAAAATGTTAGGGTGAGTAGGGGATGAAAATATATAGTTACTTTTAGCCAACATTAAATATCAGATTTTATGTAAAAAATTAATATTGATAAATGTTGAGGCAGTAAGAGAAACTGAAACGTTATAATCTTCCTTAAACAGAATTTTGGTTCAAAATGGTTGAGCAAATTAGATTTTAAAAATATGATCATGTAAAAGTGAAAATGAGAAATTGATATCTGTTATGACTGTTATTGTTTAACATTGTTAGGAAAGTTGTTTTCAGTGCCATAAAACAAGAAACAATGAAGGTGCTATAACATTTAAAGGAAGAAACAATTGATATAGTAGGGCCACATATACTGAACAAAAACAAAAAAAGAAAGGAAACAAAATTATCATATTTATAAACAATATACCTCATCTAGACAACTAAAGATAATTAACTGAAAGGTATCAGAATTTAAAAATTCAGTGGAAGAGATATATTCCAAAAAGAATATTAAATCAGTGACAACTGAGAACCACCTATTTTGGTAGTTATTATAGTCAACCAGTGAATAGAAAGCAAAGCAAAACAAAACAACAAAATAACAACCTAGAGTAATTTTAACAATAAAAAGTGAGAAAAAGACAAACTTTTCAGAAAAACCAGAGAAGGCTTAAGTACGACAGCTCTTTTTCTCTGACAGGAAAACTGAAAGTTGTAAAGATGTAAACTTTCAGAAATAAATGTTTAGAAAACAATACTTAACCTAGAAGAAAAGAGAGTAGTAAGCCACAAAACATTCAAAAGAGTAAGTTTGGAGTTAACTGGAATAAGCTCTGGAATGAACCCTAATATATGTAAGGCTTTGATGCACTATAAATTAAACCTTATAACCAACAGAAAAATGATACATCACACCAGCAAGTGGTATTAGGAAAATTGGCTTTGTGGAAAAATATTTTAGGTCAGAGTCTCACTTCACACCAAAATATGTTCCAGATGAGTTTAAAAATTAAATACGAAAGAAAAAAAGACAAATGCTAAAAGGAAACATAGTCCTTTGATGGGAAAGGATGTCCTAAGCAAATATGCAATAGAAAAAAAAAAAAAAAATATATATATATATATATGTTATTTTTGAGATGGAGTCTTGCTCTGTCGCCCAGGCTGGAGTACAGTGTCAAGATCTCGGCTCACTGCAAGCTCTGCCTCCTGGGTTCACGCTGTTTTCCTGCCTCAGCCTCCCGAGTAGCTGGGACTACAGGCGCCAGCCACCACACCTGGCTAATTTTTTTGTATTTTTAGTAGAGACAGGGTTTCACTGTGTTAGCCAGGATGGTCTCGATGTCCTGACCTCATGATCCGCCCGCCTCGGCCTCCCAAAATGCTGGGATTACAGGCATGAGCCACTGTGCCCGGCCTGGCAGAAATATTTGAAAAGAAAGTTTCAACCTATGAAACTTATTTGTATCCTAATTTAAGCCGTAACACTATAAGCCAAATACCTTAAGACAATGGGGAATTATATTTTCTGTCTTGATACTTGACAAAACTGTGAATTATTAATTTTTTAAGATGCGTCAATTTTTAAACAGTTCTTATCTCCAAGAGATACTTGCAGCTGAAGTTTTATGATGTCTAGGATTTGTTTATAAATAATCCAGGTTAGATAAGGAATGGATGAAACTAGATTGGCCGAATTTACAATGCCTAAAGCAGGATGATTGGTAGTTATATCAAGTACCAATTATATACTATTCTCTTTATTTTGAGAAAGCCTTGAAAATTTCTACAACAAAAAGTTAAATTATAAGAAGAAATACAGGCAAATATAAAAACAAGTGGAAGGTCGGGTACAGTGGCTCATTCCTGTAATCGTAGCACTTTGGGAGTCTGAGGTAAGAGGATTGGTTGAGCCCAGGAGTTTGAGACCAGTCTGGGCAATGTAGCAAGACCCCATCTCTGAAAAAAAAAAAAATTAGCTGAGCCTGGTGGTCCATGCCTATAGTTCCACCTATGTGAGGTTGAGGTGGGAGGATTGCCTGAGCCTGGAGGTTGAGGCTAGAGTGAACTGTGATCACACCACTGCACTCCAGCCTGGGAGACACAGCTAGACGCTGTCTCAAAAAATAAAATAAAATAGGCTGGAGGCAGTAGTTCACACCTGTAATCCCAGCATTTTGGGAGGCTGGGGTGGGTGGATTGCTTGAGCTCAGGAGTTTAAGAGCAGCCTGGGCAACAACATGGTGAAGCCCTGTCTTTACCAAAAACACAAAAAATTAGCTGGGTGTGATGGTACCCACCTGTAGTCCCAGCTACCCAGGAGGCTGAGGTGGGAAGATGGCCTGAGCCCAGGAGATGGAGGTTGCAGTGAGCTGAGATTGTGCCACACTGCACTCCAGCCTGGGCAACAGAGTGAGACCCCATCTCAAATAAATTAATTAATTAAATAAGAACAAGTTGAAAACTGGGGGAAATATTTGCTAAAACAATGTTTAAAAATACAGATAAAGTTTTTAAATTAGCACATGTGGCAATGAGTGCTGGTTGTTCCTGCCATCCACTCACCTTTCTCTTTAGTATCAGCACCCCTGTGTTACATGGGCACATTGCATCCAGGGTAAAGAACTGTATTTTCTAACCTCTGTTGTGGTTATATATGGCCATATGACTATGGTTGGGTTTGCTCAAATTACTGTATTCTGGCCAACAAGACGAGAGTGGAAGTACCATTTGTGACTGCCAGGAAACACCCTTAAAGGATATTTCTTCTTTTTTTTTTCTAATGGTTGGAATGTGGATGTGGTATAAAAGGCCATATTGGCCAAAGAGATCAAAGCCATTTGCCAAAAATAGTAAAGCTGCAAGATGGCAGGATCTTGGATCCCTCACTATTTAGATACACTGTCCTTTCAGCCTTGAGCTGACTATCTTGGGCTCTCCTGTACATGAGACATAAATTTCTCCTTGTCGTTGCTATTATTTTGGGTTTTCTGACGGTTGTCACTGAACCTAATTGTAAATAATATATCCTACAATGAAAAGATGGTCAAGTATGTTAGTATACAGTTTCCAGAAAAAAATATATAGTTAACCAAAGAACAGCTAAAAACACCCTGCCAAAAATATAAATTTTAACAGTATTTTTTATCTATCAAATAATAAAAGTCACAGATACATTATTGAATGCTGACAGTATGGTATAGTGGTTAAGAGAGCGACGAAGGAGCCAGACAGCCAGGTTCATGTCCCTGCTTTGCTTTGTCATTTACTAGCTGATTTAACTGAAAAATTTATTTTGATTTATTTTGATTGCCTGTCCTATTTCATCTGCAAAACATACTTTTTACAGTTATGAGCATGACAAGAAAATACAGTGCCAGCATGGTGTCCAGCATTTGTAAATACAGTGATATTTTGTAAAAATAGGTTTAAAAACAAATGACAAAATGAGTGCTCATTGCAACTCTGAAATCTCTACAGCTTTTCAGGAAAGTAACTTGGAATATAAATAGCTTTTAAAATGTTAATAACTGTTGACCATTAATTCTACTTCTAGGGCTCCAGCCTGATTAAGTAATTAGAGATGAACACAAAGGTTCATTCATAAAGATGTTCACTGTGGCATTATTAATAATAGTATAAAAGTAGAAGCAATCTAAACAACAGAAAATTAACATATTTAATACATTATGATGCATTCATATTATTTAACCATGAAAAATAATCATTTTATGCAAGTAGAAAATAAAAATGAGTTCAAAAATAATCTGACAGGCTGTTGGCTGAGATCTCAGCAATGGAGCAAATCACCAAGAAGACAATTTTAGGAATTCATTTAGCCAGGAGTAACCTGTGGGAAGGAGAAAATATGTCTGCACTTTCATGGCAATTGAGATCCAAATACCTGTCACCCCAGCACCCTGAGCCCCTTCCTTCCCATCCAGATTGTACACCCATCCTTTGAGGGACTTCTACAAAATGCCATCATCCAAATTTGGCTATGATAGCATCCCAAACACCAAAATGTAAGACTTTACTCAGCAAAGATATCAATAGCCTTAACAATGTCACTGATCTTTGATCCAGGGATTCCTGTTCTAGAATGCTATCAGAGGAAAATATTCTGAAATGCAGTTTTTTTTAATACAGTGTTTGTTATAATATTCAGAACAAGAAACAATCCAAATATCTAATAATTGAATACTGGTTTAAAAAAGAGAACACTAATATGATACACTATTATGCAGTGATTAAAAGCATGCTTATTAGAGTTTTCAATAACATGGGGAAACATTTATGCTGTTAAGTCAAAAAAATAATTAGCATGCAAAATTCAATGTGTTGTTTAGTCTCAACTATGTGTGGAGAAAGATAAATAACACTAGAGAGATAACAATTTATTCAACAGTTATACTATATGTAGTTTGTGTCATTTTTCTTTTTTTTTTTCCTTATTTATGTTTGAGACAGGATATTGCTCTGTGGCCCAAGCTGGAGGGCAGTAGCTTGATCATGGCTCACTGCAGCCTTGGCCTCCCAGGCTCATACAATCCTCCCAGCTCAGCCTCCCAAGTAGCTGCCACCTGGCTAATTCTTGTGTTTTCTTTGTAGAGACAGGAGCTCGCCATGTTGCCTAGGCTGGTCTTGAACTCCTGGACTCAAGCAATCCTCCTGCCTCGTCCTCTCAAAGTGCTGGAATTACAGGCATGAGCCACTGTGCCTGGCCTTTGTGTCATTTTTCTATCAATCTATATACTGTGTGAGTCAATTATTAAAATATTAGGGAGAAGTAGAGAGAGTAATTAAGCAAATCTAATTAGGAGCAGTTTTCCATTTCTTATTTATACCTTTCTTCCTGTACTTTGCAGATGTTCTACAATAAGCATTTTTAATAATTAAAAATACGGTAACAATTTAAATAACTACAACTGGAAATGCCTTTTCTCTGGTGTCTCAGATGGATAAACTTCACTGCCATAATACCTGGGCGCCTGGTGAACCCCAGGCCAGGCAGCATGCACCCAGCAGGACTATGACTCAGGAGAAGGGAAGCAGGCAGGATGACTAGGTAGACCCACCACTTAAGTCCTTCCCACAGAATGTAGCTATTTTTATGGCATTATTTCTTTATACTTTTCAGAAGACAAAAGTAATTTTGTAGGTATCTAGGAACAGAATTTATCTATAAGGCTGAAAGAACTTGGAGGGTTGAATATTTATAATATTTATAGTCAATATTTAAAATAACATGAAATCTTTTCTGATTTTACTCCAGTGTTGCTAGAAAATGTTGGCGAAGAACTAGATCCTATTTTGGAACCTCTTCTACTAAAACAAACCTTTAAGCAGGGTGGGAGTACATGTATCCGGCTTGGGGACTCCACAATTGAATATGCACCTGACTTCCGCTTCTATATTACTACCAAGTTAAGAAATCCTCATTATCTTCCTGAAACATCAGTAAAGGCCAGTATATAAAATGAATGTTTCTTTATCAGATTTTGTAATTAGTGACTATATATTCCTCCTGAGTCATAAGAAGAACAAGTCTTCCTAAGAAAAACGGATTTTGCCTTATTTTGGTATTTCCTAAAATTATTGCTATAATAATTTCCAAATGTTGCATTGGTGAGTACATGTAAGTAATAAAGGAAACTTCAGCATGCTGTGAAAAAAGGTCATCAGAATCAAATTTCTACAATTGATATGATTCTTAGATTTTCATTGTTAAAAATAGAAGATATATGCCCACATTCTTTCTTTGTAATAAATGATTATATGCTAATTATTGAAATTGAAATTCAGAAACAGAACTCCATTCTTCTTTCTCAGACTAAGGTTGCTGCTGTCTGATTTTATGTAATTACTTAAAAGAACTGTTTTCAATCACTTCTTTTAGAATACTAAAAATTCCTTTAAAGAGTAAATTGAGCTTAAAGTTTTTTAGTCAGTGACTAAAATGTCCTGAGATGTTGATCTGCAGCTGAGCTCCTAGGTTTATGGCCTACACCTTATTCTGTTTTTAGTCCTACTTCTTAGCCTTGGTTGGCATTCATTAAATGTTTGTGGAGTGAGTGAATGAGTGAGTGAAGGATTGCTTTCATTTACAGAGGCAAGCAGGAGAAGACATTAAGAAGCTTATTTAGATTTTGAAAGTTATATAGAGAGGCAAGAGTTATATAGTGAATTCAAATACTTGCCTGTATTGGAAATATTTAAATTAACATAGGCATCTCTCTGCAGAGAGGCAGAGAAAAGATCGAGATGGTGTAATTTATTCCCTCCAAGATGAATAAACATGATCCCTGCTCTCCAGAGGTCTATCTTATAAATAATGTGTATGCAAAGTGACCGAATTGTGTGACTAGGAAGACACAGCGGAGCTGCAATGTGTCCTGGGAGCTCAGAGTTGAGGATATACTTAGGGTGGACATTCAGGGATGTCAGGAAGACTAGGGGAAAATGGAGTGACCCTTGAACTTAATTTTAAAAACAGAATGTTAAAACATGGAAATTCTTGGCTATTTTTAATTAATTAAAATCCAATATTATTTAAACACTTTCAAATGTCTACTATGTATTTACCTGCTAGGGAAGGGAATATCCAGTAGTAGTTAAGGCCATAGATTGGGGTGCTACTTGCCAGGTGTGCGATTTGGGACATTTCATGTAACCTCTCTGTGCCTCAATTCTCTCATCTGTCAAATGAGAATAATAAAAGTATCTATCTCATAGAGTGATGTGAATTAAATAAATTAATCTGCATAAGATGCTTAGAATAAAGCCAATAGATAGTATTACTATGAGTGTTACTTATTAGCAATATTATTTAACATTTAAATATAAGTGAAAAAGAAGGAAGCAAAAAGGAAATGATAAAATCCCAGAGCTGTGTTAGAGAAAAATGTTTAAGTAAATGACATGGAAAACCTTTTTTACTGTTCAGTAAAATACGTGGAACTATCGCACATAACATAAACAATTTTTAGTTCACTAATAACTGGTTATGGTAGGAGTCATAAAGTGCTGTGGGGAGGAAACTGACCTATGATTCAGTATCAAAACCCTTAAGATCCCTAGAGTGTCTTATTGCTTTATTATTTTTAATTGCTGGGATTGATTAAACAGGGATTAGAAAACATAGTGAGGCAGTTACTTGCTTTCATTTACAAATTATAATACTTCCTCTGGATCCCACTTTTAGGATCTTTTATGTACCTTTTGCTTTCAAAAGCACCCAAGGGATGGTGTCGTGCTGGTATAATCCTTTTGAGTCTAAATGAAAATAAAATTATGAAACCATAGTTTATGTTCTTAAATGTTTATTTGAGAATAAATGGCTTGATTTGAAAAGTCTTGATGTGAAAGGACCCAACATTAATGGAATATGAATGGATACTTCCTTGTGTCTGAACACAGTGAAGTAAAAGTTGCAAAACATGCATTTTGCTACCACTGTGCCTATGGTTTTTGGATTAAAGCAAATGTAGCCTGTGGACTTGGTTTCTCATGCCAATAGGGAAAATATCTTCAAAGCTTTATACTTTTTCCATGAATAAATGGCAAAGCAGTAGAGAATTACATAACATTTAATGAGTTTTCCAAATTGCTCAATTTTAAAAATTGCTTATCTCATATAAATTTATGATTATATCTATGTAGTCTATAGTTAGTGGCCTCCATGGTCTGCCATGGGACAAGTGGGGGAAAAGTTTTTAACCCAGATAATACCCCACTGAGGAGGTGCCTAGGTGTGGGCGGAAGGAGGGAATCATCTTCCTAGGGGTTTTGCAAGAAGCTGTTTTACACTTATTGGCCACAGGCAGGACATTTTCTTACAAAAATAAAATTACTCTGTCCCTGCAGAGGAAATATTTTCTTATAAGTAAAAGCAGGGAAACACGATATCTCCCACCCAGTAGCAGGAGCTGGGAATACAGAGATGTGGAGGCTAAAGCAACTCCATCTTGGATGCTAATCCACCAAGTTGGCTTCTGATTTACCTCTGTTCCGGGAAAGGTCTAAGATTTCCAGTTTATCTACTGTGCCTCCTGTAAGAGCAGGTACTTACCATACGTTCTGCTCTTCGGTCAAACAACCTTCAATTATTCTACACATCTCTTCTAAATCGTTTCTCCTGTGATATATGAGCCCTGGGTCTTGTGGGTAATGGCACAGGGATCCACCGACTTGTCTCCCTGCCACCCAGGACACAGACATGGCTTATGTTTGTTAAGTCCCTATTAGATGTTTCTTTCTAAGAAGTTAGATATGTCAGCCTCTTTCTTCAGCCTCAGCTTCTGCTGATTTCAGGGGTAGGTTTGCAAAGACCTGCCCACCAGGAAACAACAGATGAAAAGACAAAAACCAAAAGTAGAGAGAACAGCAACCTCAGTAACAGCATTACCTATTTTTAGTTTGTAAAAAAGGAAAACCTTTGAGCCTTGGCAATGCAAACAATTTATAAATCAGGCAAAACCTCCAAAGGTGCTTTAAAAAAGTCATTAAGATTAGAAAAATAACATTTTTGACTCTTCTTCTTCTTCTTTTTTTTTTTTTTAACCTTCCCACCAGTTGGGTAAAACACTGCTTGTCTTTAGGAGGGAGAGTGATGGCTCCTTCTATAGTTGTGCAGTCTGTACATAAAACAAAGGTGGAGTTGAAGAGGGCTGAAATCTAGCCCCAAGTTGCTTAGGCATTGGCCTGGTGCGGGGCTGATTCTGCATGCAGACAACATCTTTTTCTAATCCACACAAGGTACTTCATAGACTAGCAGAGCCTTGAGAGGAATAAAACATAAAAACAAGAACAACGCTTTTGCTTTGCAAATAAATCTTTTGAATAAGCTGCCTGTATTGGGTTTGGTTGATTATAATCTGCTACATGTAGGTAGTTTGCCCATGGGGTTGTTTCTTCTCTCCTAGTTCACATGTTTTATGATTCGAATTAAAATTCTAATTTAAAAAAACCCTCAGATTTCGGTATGCCAAAATGGCATTTTTTAGCTGCTACAATTTAGGTTAAGTTGTGATCGAAAATGTGTTTAAAAGTTTTGGACAAAATTGTCACTAACATATAGAATGCAGTGGTGTTATCTGGGTTTGGGAAAGTACTTTCTATTAAGGAACCTCCTTTCATTAGGGAAATGATGAAATCAGGAGCAAACACTGAGTCACCTCTGATGATTTGTGGTAGTTGCTGAAATTTTTGTAGCATTTTCAAGGGTAAAAAAACAAGTATTTCTTTTTTTTTTTTTTAATTTTACTTTAAGTTCTGGGATACATGTGCAGAGCGTGCAGGTTTGTTACATAGGTATACATATACTATGATGGTTTTCTGCACCTATCAACTCGTCATCTAGGTTTTAAGCCCCATATGCATTAGGTATTTGTCCTAATGCTCTCCCTCCCCTTGCCTCATACCCCCCAACAGGCCCCAGTGTGTGATGTCCCCCTCCCTGTGTCCATGTATTCTCATTGTTCAACTCCCACTTACGAGTGAGAACATGCGGTGTTTGGTTTTCTGTTCCTGTGTTAAAAAACAAGTATTTCTAATATTGCCGACTGCACACATTGAATTCTGATACATGTGGTAGAAAATGTTTGCCTTCAATTATAGGTAGTAGACGAAGAGTGCTCCTTGGGTCATACCTGCACACTCTCCAGTGGTAGAATAGATTCCTCTAAACGTGCTTTGCTTTCTCTGCTGCTTTGTCTATGCTGTTTCGTTTGCCAAGAGCAATTGTTCTCAATCCTGGCTGAACATTGAAGTCACCTGGAGAGCTTTTAAAACTCCAAATACTCAGGCCACACTCTAGACCAATTAAACCAAACTCTCTGGACATAAGACCCAGACACTACTGGTTTTTAAATTTCACAGTATATTCCAATCAGCATCCAAGGTTGAAACTTTCTGCCCTGTAGAATGTTGCCCTCTTCTTTCTCTTGACTAACTGCTGATCACGCTTAAGTTTTAGCTCAGGTGTCCTTTGCTTGGGGGAAGTCCTTTTTGCCTCCCTGAGCTGGGTTGGGTGCCCTCTGTGCTCCTGTAGCATTGCAAGCTGTCCACTCTCAGAGTCCTTATCCCAATGTATGTTCTTTGTTCCTCTGTTTGCTCAACTAGATGAAAACTTTTTGAGGGCAGGGACCAGACTGTATCTTACTCTTCTTTATATCATAGAGCCTGATTCATGGTAGCTATTATTTTATATAAAATGCCTTTGGGAAGAATCATCAAGTGACTAAAATTTTAGGAAATAGAAGTAGCAGAGAGCAACTCTATGAACAGGGAATGTGGGCATTCTGATTGTTCATTCAATAAGTTTGTAGGGAGCATGACTTTGTGCTGAACAATACAACCATGAAGTCAAATAAGAGACGACCCCTGTGCTAAAGTTACTTTCATTCTGGTCTGGGAGAGAGGTATATATGCCCATGATTGCATACAGTGTAATATGTGCTGTAATGAGTTAAGACCCCTATGAGGAAGTGCAGAAAGTAGCTTGGGGTAGTGATTTGGGTAGAACACATTGTATGGGAAAGTGTCCAAGAGGAGCTGACACTTGATCTGCACACTGACAGATGAATAGGAGCTAATCTGGTGGATAACAAGGGGAAGGGCGTAGAGCAAACACTGAAGCACATGGAGGCATTTCATAGATAGTGTGTATGGGATTCCACAATCAGTTCCTTGCAGGAAAATGAAAGGCATGTGAATGGGAGTAGTGGGAGGTGATGCTTAAGACATAGGTGCAATGTATACAACTGTTATGTATCCATAAAAATTAAAAATTAAAAAGATTGGTGATACATGGTGATAATAAAGAGCCATCTTTATTATTAAAAAAAGACATAGATGTGATTCAAGACATTAGGTCAGGCAGACTGCAGTATACATGAAAAAAAAAGTGAGGATTTCAAATGAAGCCAAGGTCAAGACAGTGTTTATTGACTTACGGGTTCATTGGTGACCAGAGCCAGGAAGTTACTATGGTTTATAGCAGTGTGTGTGGATGAGTGTGCAGAGGCAGGGCAGGGAGCAGATTGTAAAGGGCTGTATCATGAAATAAAGTGGAGGCAGAAAATATATATAAATAACATTTTCAATAAGTGTCGTTTCGAAAGCCCAAAGAGAGGTTATTCCATAGCTGGAAAGGATTGTGGGAGCAATAGAATGATTTGTTTGTTGTTTGCTTTTTTTAAAAAAAGAGTCCTCAGCATGTTTGCATGCTTATGGGAAAGAAACAGGAGATGTGGACAATGAAGAGAGACCTGCCTGTAAGAGCAATTAGGTCCCCAGATGAAGCAGGTGTTAGCAGACAGTCTTGATGGACACCATGAAAATGTAAATTCCTTAGTTCACAATAGTGGCTGATTATCAGATTGTAAAAATACTTCACTCATGACAAGTAACTACAGTGTTCCCTTTTCTCTTATCTCACTTTGTAAGATTTCCTTTACTTTTGACACCACTAGAATCCTTAAAATGTAAATCAGCTGGTCCAACTATTATGATTCTAGAGCCAGGCTTTGAACCATATATTATACCATGCTCTGATCAACTGAAATGAAAGATAGCTTCCAACCTGATTCTAATGAATTTTGCTGTTAAAGAGTTCTCAGAAATTGGACTAGTTTGAAATGAGAATAAGTTGATCACCAAACAAACCCTTTGAGGTATTAGATTTTTGACTATGAGAAACTGAGGTGGGTTTTAAATCCAACAATCATATTTGCCTATGTCGTTAATCATAGTCTCTACAAATTACACCTTCACAAGTACTACCATATATAGTAAATAGAGTCTATTTTAAGGGCAGAACTTGACACATAAAAGCAGAGACTTTTTAACAGAAATAATGATGTAATTTTTGTATATTTTTTCATTTATAGGTAACATTATTAAACTTCATGATAACCCCTGAGGGAATGCAAGATCAGCTTCTGGGAATTGTGGTGGCACAAGAAAGGCCAGACCTTGAAGAAGAAAAGCAAGCCTTGATATTACAAGGAGCTGAAAATAAAAGGTTTTAAATGTCATAAACAGAACTATTCTTATTTGTTTCTAGATCACTAGAATGAATTAAAATACATTTTACAGATCTCTTTTGTTAGATTTAATAGGAATACTGCAAGGGAAAATATAACAGGAAAATGTAAGGAATTATACCTCTATGTCAATTTAGAAAACTGCGTTACTGAGTATATTTTTACATGCAAGTTCTTAGGCACTGGAAGAGCTAGAAGGCCTGCCAGAAGTCAGGGCAGGGTATTTTCAAATATTCCACAAAGTTTTAGCACAAGAGTTTTGGTATTCACTGTGTAACTGAGGTAAGCTGTTTTTACTGGAGCATGGTATGAATGAATATGTTGCATCCCACTTTCTGCTCATAACATCTGTATCATAGGTAGAAAGAGTAAAGCTGTATAAGTCATGTAACATTTCAGAAAATAAATGGAGTGCTACTTTCTATTCACTCTGAGCTGAGATCCTTGATGGCAGAGTAAATTGGCTTGCCGTATTTCTCTCTAGTTAGCCCATAAATGATCATTAAAAAGGGAACTGGAGCAGAAAGGCCCATCTTTGTGACATTTTACGAGATAAGAAATTAATTATAAGGCATCACCATTACAGATATTTGTCACAAAGTGATGCATTTCTTTAGGTTACAAGTTCTTTGTTTCTTATAAAAGAACATATACGTGAAATGATTTTAAATGACTTCTTTTTCTTCTAAGAAAATTTTGTTTTATTCCAGGCAGTTAAAAGAAATAGAAGACAAGATTTTAGAAGTTCTTTCATCTTCGGAAGGCAATATATTAGAAGATGAAACTGCTATTAAGATATTATCTTCCTCCAAGGCCTTGGCTAATGAGATTTCTCAGAAGCAGGAAGTAGCCGAAGAGACAGAGAAAAAGATTGACACCACCCGCATGGGCTATCGTCCTATTGCCATCCATTCTTCCATCCTATTTTTTTCTCTTGCTGATTTAGCCAACATTGAGCCCATGTACCAGTATTCACTGACCTGGTTTATTAACCTTTTCATCCTGTCTATTGAAAATTCAGAGAAATCAGAAATTTTGGCAAAAAGGTATGTAAAGGAAATACTAGTTAATATTAACTAATTAATGCATGAAATCAGAGAGTAATTTGTGACCTCTATTGTTGTCTCAGAGTGGTACAAGCATTACAGCCACTTACCTAAAATGAACTTGATTAATCATCGTATCAGAAGTAAATATGGGGGTTAGAAATTGAACAGATGTGTCCAAATTCAATCTGCCAAGAAACTGTTTACAGAGATCTAGAATTATAATGTAATTCTAGAAAGAGAAAACGTTTACCTTATTTTTCATCTGCAAAATATATTTATGAATGGAAGTGTAGAAAGAGTAGTTAATAATTTTTAAAATATGACTCCTGTACGAACTGGCATTCTAAAAGTTGCAAATTCACAGTTTAATATACACATCTGTAAAATTTGTCAAATGCTAGGGTAAAAAAATCCCAAGCCTTGTTGCGATTATTTGTGGTAATAGATCTTCTTTTCTATTATTCTTATTTACATAAAATACTTTATATTACTGTTGGCTATTACAATAAGTAATGGAATTAAGACCTGACTTAAATCTACAAGAGAATTAAATTTCATTTGATTTTTTAAAATCAGTTAGATAATTTTCAGTTTGGTATTAAGACATGTTTTTGTTTTGTTTTGTTTTGTTTTGAGACGGAGGCTCACTCTGTCGCCCAGGCAGGAGTGCAGTGGCGCAATCTCGGCTCACGCAAACTCCGCCTCCCGGGTTCACACCATTCTCCTGCCTCAGCCTCCTGAGTAGCTGGGACTACAGGCACCCACCACCATGCCCGGCTAATTTTTAGTAGAGACAGGGTTTCACCATGTCAGCCAGGATGGTCTTGATCTCCTGACCTCATGATCCACCTGCCTCGGCCTCCCAAAATGCTGGGATTACAGGCGTGAGCCACCATGCCCGGCCAAGACATGTTTTTAATAGAGTTTAATGTGTAGTTACTTTTTGAAAAAAGAAAGTAATTAATAACAACTTTTGCCTTTTATAACCTTCTTGATCAGTATGAACCTAAATACTTCAGTTTCTTGACTGTTCAGACCCACAAGGGAAACTCAATTTAATTTTTATCACTCACAGCTAAGAATTATTTTTAGAAATCCAAAATGTTAATCTCACTAAAATCTGAATTTAATTCCTTTATCATAGTAGAGGTCTAAAATTTTGAGTGTTCTTAGACTTAGCAATTTTTTGTTAGTAAGATTTATTATTTTACAAGTTTGAATATGAGACTAATAAAGGTGTGAGTCCGACACTTTGAGCTTGGCCAAAAATATATATAGATATATAGATATCTGCCATTGAGAAAGAGAGGGAGTAGGTAATTTTTTTTGGAAGAAATGCATTGCGTAATGATAGAGTTTATTCATCTTTATGATATTTGAAAATGTTTAGTTTATTTCTTCCAGTTCTGAAATTTTCAAGTTTAGCAAGGATTACAGAAATAAAACAAAATTTTAAGTGATCTTTCTTAGAAAAGTTCCCAGCTATTTGCATTATAAGTTAGTTAATTAAACATGCATGTCTGGTTTTCATACTAGATTCTGAGTTCCGTGGGACAAGAATTAAAAAAAAAAAATTATCCCCAGCCTGGGCACAGTGGCTCACACCTGTAAGCCCAGCACTTTGGGAGGCCAAGATGAGCAGCTTGCATGAGTCCAGGAGTTTGAGACCAGCCTGGACAACATGGCAAAACCCCATCTCTACAAAAAATACAAAAATTTAGCTGGGCACGGTGGTGTGGGCTTGTAGTCCCAGCTACTGGGGAGGCTGAGGTGGGAGGATTACTTGAGCCCAGGAGGTTGAGGCCGCAGTGAGTCGTGATTGTGCCACCACACTTCAGCCTGGGCAGTGGGAGTGAGACCCCATCTCCAAAAGAAAAAAAAAAATTATTCCCAGTAGTTACGACAGTGCTAATCACATTATAGCCACACAATAAATAATGCTCTGCTTTTCACTACTGGTCTTAATTTCTACCTTGCTTATAACAATAACCACTAGAATGTTAATCTGTTAATTAGCTTAAAATCAAGGTATTTTCTGGAGTCTAGAGAAGAAAATTTCTTTGGTCTGCCATTTAAAGACATTTTTCATATAAGCTTTAAAAATTCAAACAATCCTATGCTTTGAAAATAATGATGGGTCCTTTATTGTCTCCTATTATATCAAGTTAGAACTCATCCAAGGTATGAAATTTGTTTCTTCATTACTGTGCTTTTGTCCCTTAAGATATAAGGAAAAGCAAATCCTTTTTACCCAGATGTGTGATTTGGATGAAATTTAGAAAACAAAATGTGGCCTTTTCTTTTTAGTTGAACTTCTTTAATTTCAAAACAATTAAAATCTTATGTATGTCTGCCGTAATACTAAAAGTATAATTTTGGAACCAAAAGGTAAATAGAGAAAATAGATTTTAAAACTTTTATTGAAGTTATCAATACACATGAAGAAACGTGCAGAAATCAGAAGTATTTGCCCAGTGAATTCTCATAAGTGAGCAAACCTGTGTAACCAGCACCTAACTCAAGACACAGAACATTATCAACAGCCCAGAAGTGTCCCCTCCTGATCACTAACCCTCTCCCCCAAGGTGACCACTGTCCTGACTTCCAACACCACAGGTTAGTTTTTGCCAGTTTTAGAACTTCATATAAATAAAATCACACAGTGTCTGCTTTTTTGTGTCTGATATCTTGCACTCAACGTCATGCTTGTGAAATTAATGCACATTGTTTTCTCTAGTGCAGTGTTTTACTTACTTATTTAATTGTTAGTTTTCTATTGTTGGGGAAGTATAATTAAAAACTACATCTTTTCCCAACCCAGAAACTCTCTCCTCAAAGACAGTAGAGAAAGAAAATAGTTTTATTGTTGAATAAACATTAAACGGAACATGACACATAATCAGAGACAATCACAAAGAGATTGCAAAGACAGAGAGGAATCTCACCCCCTTAATTATCGAAGCAGATAAACCCATTACATCACACTTAGTTCATCCTAACTTTACTTGGCAATTGAAGTGACCATCTGTGTTAGCAAACTGGCTTTATCCAGAGGAAAACCAAACTTTTCGTATCTGTATGACAGGAGGTAGTTTTGCAACTTGAAATAAGCTTAACTGAAGTTAGGCTCCTACCCTTCTGCAGCACTTTGGAGACAAGTGGGCTATCTCCCTTGATGTTTAGATTTCAAAGAAATGGCTTCTGGGTCTTTGAGAAAGACATTACTGGGTCATAAAACTGACAAAGGTCTGACTAGTTTTCAAAAGGGTTTATATTCAACGAGAGGAGGAAGTACCTATAATTTTAGGTTTTCTAAATTAAGAAAAAAAGGAGGGAAGGAAAATCTCTCTCCTTATTTTCAACATAAAGAATTGAGTCTCTTATTTTCAATTTTTACTTGTCCTAATACTGTAACACAAATCATTTATCCATTCTACTGTTGAGGATATTTGGGTAGCTTCCAACTTGGGGTTATTATGAAATTTTGCTTCCTTGAACATTCCTGTACATGGCTTTTGGTGCCGATATGTATCTGTCTTTGGTGGGTGTATATCCAGGAATGAAATTGATGACCACAGGGCATGGTTATATTCCCTTTTAGTAAATACTGCCAATAGTTTTCCAAAGCATTATACCAAGAGAGAAACTTTGATCAGTCCTATTTAATCTTTTTTTTGTTGTTAAAGTAAACTAAGAGTTTCCAATTAAGAAGCTAGCTCCCAAATCAGAAATTAAAAAGAGAATGAGTTCTCACAGAAATGATCTGTTTTTCTGCCAATCATTGATAGTCATCAAATAACTGGTAGACTTCAGGCAGTTATTGGACGATAGTTCTACCAAAAGCATAGAAAACATGTGACTATTAACACTAGCCAACCTGATTGTTTTAGAATCTTAATATTGGTCTAAAATTATTTCTCATTTCTTTTTATTTAGGGATATAAATGTATTTCATTCTTGTTTGTCTTCTGGTAGTGATTATTATATGGTACCAAGAATGTATTATGTTACGACTAGTATGGTATATACTGTGCAATTGCCATAACTTGGATCATCTGTTATTTATAAGATTTTAATGCATTAGAATTTATGTAACAGAATAAATAACTTTATGTAGCAAGCAAAATAAAACAAAAATAACATAAATATAGAAACCAAATCTAACTAGGATATGGTTTTGTTAAATATCCTGGAATCAATCTGTTGCTGTACAAATATGCATGTATATGTAATTGTAACCACCCAATGGGTTCTTCCTGTCTGCCGCCCATAGAAAATCAACCCACTGAGACCATGACATTGTGATAAAGAAAGAGTTTAACTGATGTGAGGCCAGCCACACCATGCTGAAGATGGAGTCATTACTCAAATTAATCTCCTGAAAATTCGGAGGCTAGGGCTTTTCAAGGATAGTTTGATGGGCAGGGCGTTAGGGAGGAGGGCATGCTGATCGGTTGGAAACACAATCATAGGAACTCAGCAAGGAAAACAGTCTTCCCTGAGTCTGCTTCTGGGTGGGGACTGCCAGAGGAGTTGCTGGTCTAGGTGAGGCCATCCAATAGTCAGAAATGCAAAAGCCTGAAAAGATAGCCCAAAAGGTCAATCTTAGGTTCTACAATAGTGATGTTATTTACAGGAGTGATTGGGGAAGTTGCAAATCTTACCACCTCTGGTATCATGGCTAGTAAACTAAATTTCTTCCAAAGTTAGCTTCGCCCATGCCCAGGAATGAACCAAGACAGCCAGCCTGTGAGGCCAGAAGCAAGATGGAGTCAGCTATTTCAGATTTCTCTTACTCTCATAATTTTGCAAAGGCAATTTGATAATTACGCACACAGTTTTTTTTTTCTTTCACTTCTATCAAGACCATTCTCTCATGTTATTAAGTATTCTTCTGAAACATAAGTTTTAGGAGTTGCACAATATACATACCATTGTATGAATGTACCATAATTTTTGTATTATAAGACTTTTGGCTGGGTGGGGTGGCTTACACCTGTAATCCCAGCACTCGGGGAGGCTGAGGCGGGCAGATTGCTTGAGCCCAAGGGTTCGATACCAGCCTGGGTGACATGGCAAAACCCTGTCTCTACAAAAAATGCAAAAATTAGCCTGGCGTGATGACATGCACTTGTAGTCCCAGCTACCTGGGAGGCTGAAGTGGGAGGACTGCTTGAGCCCGGGAGTTCTAGGTTACAGTGAGTTATGATCATACCACTGCAATCCAGCTTTGATGACAGAGACCCTGTCAAACAAACAAATAAATAAAAACACTTCTAAGTGGTCTCCAGCTTTTATATTGTAAGTAATGCTGCAGTAAATATAAGTGTCTGCATCTTTGATTATTTTCTTAGGCTGAAATCCCAAAATTAGGACAAAGGTGTTCACTTCTTGCAGATTCCTGATATAAATTCCTTTCCTGGAAGATTATTCAAACACACAATTCCATCAGAGGAATATGAATGATCCTATATCACTGTATCACTCACCAGCATTGAGAATGATAATTTTAATCTTCTTTTTCACCTTAAAAGGTTATTAACATATCATATTATATGTCCATTTTTACTAGTGATTGAACCTGAACTTATAATATGATTAACCTTTATAATTTCCCTTCAATCTTTCTGTCTACAAGAAGAGACTTGTTTTAAAGTGCAGAAAATTTTGTTTTACTCTGAAAAGACCAAATGTGAGTCACCCTGTATTAATTGTATGGTACTGCTACAAGTGAGACAAATTCAATGCCATGCATGAAAAGACAACCTATTAGCATAATAATGGGGACAGAAATAGTATGTTTATTTTAAGTCTTCTAAGAATTCAACTGTATTTTAGCAACTATTGCCAAGGCTTTCTCTACAAAAACCTTTTTTTTGAAGTTCCCAATTAAAAATAAGATACATCAATTTGTTGTAATTCTCTTTATGGGAATGCTGCAGGGGATAAAATAGTTAAGAAAATAGGCACGTAAGGAAAAGTGGGAAAAAAAAAAAAAAGCTAGGATGATTGACAGCTTAGAATATCAGTTAGGACATTGCCAAAATTAGCCAGGCATGGTGGTGCACGCCCGTAGTCCCAGCTACTTGGGAGGCTGAGGCAGGAGGATGGCTTGAGCCAGGGAGGTGGAGGTTGCAGTGAGCCAAGATTGCATCACTGCACTCACTCCAACCTGGGTGACAGAGTGAGACCCTGTCTCAAATAAATAAATAAATAATAAAAAGGAAATATTGTGATTATTCCTATTTTCGTGTTTTGCCTCTAGCAAATAAAAATGGAGTTTGCCAAGTTTTGTGATTTCTTCAGCTTTTATGAATTTATAATGAGTAGCACAATACTAAATTTAATAAAGAAGCTACTAATTTTAGACTATTCATTTAATATACAATATAAAACATTTGAAATTATTTGTTATAAAGAGGTCAAATTTTACCCCCAGAAATGCTTTGTAGATAAAAACAGTCTGTAAACTTTTTAATCTAACAGATTAATATACCATCCACTAACTTTTTTCCAAGAGGAAGATTAAGTTTTAAAAAAAAAAAACTCAGTCCACAGTAAAATGCAATTGGACTGAAGTGTTTCTACATTGTGTAGCTCTCAAATTGGTACACCCAATTAATGAGGATTCTTGATTGTTTGGGGGGTAATTGACCAGAAAGTTTATCAGAAGAACATACATGTAAGTTTCTTAAGAGCATTATCTTTAAAGTATATTTTTATTTATTTCCTTTATTTTCTGTTGACCCTTAGGCTTCAGATTCTCAAGGATCACTTTACTTATTCACTGTATGTTAATGTCTGCCGGTCACTCTTTGAAAAGGATAAGCTGCTCTTTTCCTTTTGTCTAACCATAAATCTACTGCTGCATGAGCGGGCGGTCAGTACTGTTTTCATTTGTAAGAAAAAAACCCTTAATAACGCTGATTCATTAATTTATTAATTTGTATGGGAATATATATAAAAAGATTGTAAATAGTTAAGCAATAATACTGTTTGTTATTATAGTTAAGGCAAGATGTTATCAGGAGGATAAATTTCACAGAAGTGAGATATAAATTAAGCACAGATTTCATTATGTTACTATTAAATTATGTTTTATTTTAAAATAAATTGATTATATTAGATTTTCATACAGCTATGCATATAAATTTACTTAATATTGATACGTTTACACCAGGTAGTAGTGTAAATGTTTTTAAAGACTTGTGCAAATTACTGAAATCTGTGTAAAGTCACTATTTTATACACTTACGTGTTTAAGATTTATGGATTTTATATGGTGATGTATTGGTTGAATTCTGAAGAAATAAATACTTTATTCTTGCATTTCTTGCAAAAGTTGTGTATCAGTAACTCATTATACTTTATGGAAAATAGTCAAAAACATGGCACATTGATGGGTTTCTGCCTTTCTACAATTTCTAGAGCCAATAGGGCTCTAGGCAGTCATTTTGGAAAACACGTATTCGAATAGAACATATTCAGATTTTCACATTTAGACAAGTAATTCTGGAGGAAAATTGTCAAAAAGTAACTATTTGAAATGGAACTATTTTGAAAACTGGTTATCATGAGTATACTGGTTTCCTATGAATAAATATTGAGCTATAACACTAGCTATAGAATTTCATAGAGACCACATCTGAAACTTGGAAGTCAACACTCAACTCTTTTATAATGGTTGTAAGCTTACTAGTTTATGATGAACTCGTTTCTGACTCTTCACGCTGCCTTGTTTTCCAAAGATTAATAAAGCTGAGTGGAGATTTCTGCTAACTGGTGGCATTGGACTGGATAATCCTTATGCCAACCTTTGTACATGGCTTCCTCAGAAATCCTGGGATGAAATATGTCGATTAGATGATTTGCCTGCCTTCAAAACCATTCGTAGAGAGTTTATGCGCTTAAAGGATGGATGGAAGAAAGTATATGATAGTTTGGTATGTTTTAACCCTCTCACTTATTCCAATGTTTTTAAATGGAGAAAAGAATGTTAAGTATCTTTTCATAAAAGCAAGATTTAAATAAGCTTTAAACAACTGGTCACATGTTAGAATGCAAATTTTGATTTATGTTATCCCCCCTTCTAAGTCAGTGGTTCTGTTTGAACTTCCATTCAAACTCCTTGAAATGTATTAAGATGCAAGAATGCTGTGTGGTTCTTGAGAATATACTTGTTGAATTTCCATGCCAGATTTTTATTCATTATCAATGTAGATTTTGGCAATCCTAATAGCAGATGAGTTAAAGTTTATGGAACAGCTGTTGTTTAGATTTTCTGAATGCAGGATACAAGCTGATAAAATTCTGTGTGTGTGTCATTTGAGAAAAGGAAAAAGCTTGTACAGTAGTTCTAAAACAACTTTCACGAGACCTTGTTTTACTAACTGGGGAGTATTATACTTGACACAGACATAATATTCACAGTTTCCCATCTGGGATATATAGCAATTGTTGCTTTCTCTCAATTTTTCTTTAACACAAGGGCTAATATTTTTCCAATTCCCAGTTAATTTTTTCTATTCCTTTGTTTCTACTCTCTTGACTTCCTGCTTTCTGTGAGTTTAATATGCAAGAGCTCTCCTAGGGAGAGGTTGGAGGAAAGAAAGCTAGATATGCAGAGAGTATGTTTTGTTTGGTTAACCTATACTTTATTTTGTTACCTATACAACCTATATTGTTGTATTATATGTGAGAATGAGATTATGTCTTCACACGAATTCAAATATTTGGAAGTGATCTCTTTTGGATTTCTCCTTGTTAGTAATAAAAATGTTTTCTAGAGACAAGTATGTGTTGTGAGTACCTCAACTAATTTAAAATTAAAATTTTATTACTATGCTGAAGCATGAAGATTTCTAATTTGAGATACCACATAGCTTTTCCTAAAGTTTCACAGGTACACGTTTCCTTTTTTCCCCACCAAGGTTTACCCCTTCTGGTACCCTGATGGCTCTCTTCTTGTGATTTTTTAATAGCTCTCAATTGGCTTCTTCATTACACACATTCTCAAGTCTTCCTTTATAAAACAGTATTTTTAAAAAACAAGAAATAATACAATAAATTTCAGTACAATACCCTTTTTACTTGTTTTGAAATATTTATTTATTTTTGTAAATAGATGATGAGGTAAGTGGGTAGGTTTTTAAAAATGTTTTTGTTCCAGCTGGGAGCAGTGGCTCATACCTGTAATCCCAGCACTTTGGGAGGCCAAGACAGGTGGATCACTTGAGGTCAGGAGTTCAAGACTAGCCTGGCCAACATGGTGAAACCCCATCTCTACTAAAAATACAAAAAGTTAGCTGGGTATGGTGGTGCACCACTGTAATCCCAGTTACTCAGGAGGCTGAGGCAGGAGAATTGCTTGAACCCAGGAGGCAGAGGTTGCAGTGAGCCAAGATCACACCACTGTACTCCAGCCTGGGCGACAGAGCAAAACTCCATCTTAAAAAAAGAAAAAAAAAAAGAATGCCTGTGTTTGGAGGAATAAAGGGAAAATAGTAGCATATGCACATTTACTTTTTTCATAATAGGGATCATTTTGTCTGTTTATTAGTGTTCATGTCGACATTAACCTGATTAGTTCATGTCCTTGTTTTGACTCCTTTAAAGAATATTAACTTTTCTTATTATTATTTATTTTATAATGTCCCAACTTTACACTAAATAGTAAAATTTAGACAAGCATTCTTGATTTCATTTATATATTCTAAAAGTTGGTTTATAAGTGAAAATACTGTTCTCTTTATAATCTCCAAAATAACTGAATTATTTACACTGTAATTTTAGGAACCACACCATGAGGTTTTCCCTGAAGAATGGGAAGATAAAGCAAATGAGTTTCAAAGGATGCTTATTATTCGTTGCTTGAGGCCAGACAAGGTAAATGTGGGCTTTGAAAACAGCTCAATGATTCCAAAGCCTTATGCCTGCTCAGTCCATCCAAATGTGCGTTTCCTTATGTAATCATGGGGGAGGTAGAGGAGCCTGCGGGAAATAATCCCACTTCTTTCTAATGCAGACATTTTTTTCAAAAAGTTTGTATATTTTTCTAAAACCATCCTAAATCAGTAACTAGTTGGATTATATTGTATAATTTTATTTATTTTGTGATTATTTGTTTTTAATTTATGGTTTTCAGTACTCACAATCTACTCCCTTTACATATTTGTAGTCTTATCTTTACTGTTAATACTTTGGTGAAATTAGTCAGTGATGTCAACATCAAGCTGATAGACTAGAATCTGTGGACTTCTCAAGTGCTATCCTTATATATAGTTTTTTGTTGGAATTTGAATTTAAGACATTCGTCATTATTGACAACAAAGGAAAATGTCAATATTGTTACTTTTAACTTCTTTAAATAATAAATTATATAACCAGTGAATCAGCAGACCTGTTATATTAGCAAATGTCAGTATTCATTAACATCCTCATTTGTATTAGATAAAAAAATTCACCTATGAATATTGACCGATACCACAAAGATATCAATGTGCTCTAAAAAAAAAAAATAGACATTAGCTATGTTGGAAAAAATTGAGAAAATATCCTAGTTGTCCATTATTACCACTCAAATTAAAGTTTGACATAAATATTTCAAAACTTATATTCAGTTTCATCTGTTAAGGAATAGGAGAAATATCTCCATCCTAACCAAAAGAAAAAAAAATAAAGCAGAATTTAGATTGTCAAAGTAATGTATTAATTTTTTAAAAATACACATCAGTGATAATATGGGTTAGGGGCATTTTTCCCTCTATGAGCCCTACTCTGTTCACTGAACACATGTAATTCTTGCATGATGTGGCAGTCTGTTCTTAGCCAAGGCCCAAGTATCCATTAGGCACAGGAGGCACAGTGCTTGGGAACCAGAATACTTCCAGGGGTCTATGAAAATGTTGTAGTTTCTTTTAAAATCAGAAGAATATAATCCAGTGTGTGTATATTTGTCTTTATACCAACAATGGTAAAATATAATTTTTAATTTTTTTTAAAGGAGAAAGGGGCCTATGAAGTACCTTGGGTCCACGAAAGTCACTCTGCTACCCCACTCTCTTATGCTGGAAGTAACTACAGTAGTTTAGCATTCTTTATGACCCTGGTGAGACATCCTACCCCTTGGTAGCCCTTTTAAAAAATGTAATCTCCATGAAAATGCTAGTGTTAAGCCTCACAAGTTTTCACTTCATATGTTAAAGATGGGAGAATATGAGATGCTTCACACTGTTGTTTAATGTGGCTTCCTCCTCTAAAACATTTTATTAAAATTTTCAGTTTTTCACTTTGTTTTCTAAGCTAGATAAAAACTATTATAATGGCTCTGGATGTACCACTGACCTTCCTCCCTCAATATTAAAAAAAAAAGTTCGTGTTTTATATTAAGTTTAATTAAAAGTGATTAATGAGGCATTTCCTAATTGCAGCAGTTTTGTCTGCAAATATTTTCCCCCAGTTCAATGTTTTTAAAAATTTGACACTTTAATCTGAAAATACATGGAGCTATCAATAAGATGATATATCTCTTTCTACGTTCACTCTCTTTTTAAAGTATATTCGAGGGAGGTGGGAAGTTACATAGTCAAGCTGAGGGGTTTTTTTGGTGGGGGACAGGTTGGTTTGTATGTTTTTTGTTTGTTTTTAAATCATTGGAGGTTAAATTTATGGTTTTATACTTCTTTCAGCTACTTTGCCTAGTACTTTAGCCCTCTGTCTTGTATCATCTTCATATATATTTTAAAATCTCCTCTACAGTTTCCCCATTTTACTTGGATAGATAGATAGATATGTGGACAATACTACTCATCAGTATTTCTGGTTCTTCTCTCCTGTGCACACTTGAAGTGGGAGGATTGTGTCCATACATCTTACTTTGACCAATAAGATGTGAGCAGAAGTGTTAGAGCAGAAGCATTTAACTGCCAGGGTCAGATTCTCTGAGGTGCTCTCCCTGCCATCAAAATAGTGGAATCACATATTGCTGCTATTTAAGCACTATAAGCAGGCTTGACTGCTGAGCCAATGCATGGAGACAGTTGCCTTAAGACTCAGATGACTTTGCAGGAACAAGAAGTAAGTTTTCATGTGTTAAGCCACTGCAGTTTGGAAACTGTTTGCCAGCACAGCTAAACTCAGTCTATCGTGGTGATACAATTAACTAGGTACCATTAGCGACACCTCCACACTCATGTCCTTAATAAAAAAATAATTGTTAGTATGCCGTTATATTATCCAGTAGCTTCAAACCCTTTAATTTTACTGTTACCAGGTGCTCCAATTTCTATTGGTGAAATTATGATTTTGGAATCTATGTATGATAAAATAATACATGGCTATTATGCTTTTAAAAGAATGATTTTCCAAAGAAGAATGGTAGTAGAATACCAGGAAGAAGAGCATTGCTGAATGGGGCTAATATCTGAGCTAGTACTCTATAAGAGTTTATTTCTTTTTCACCTCTAAGAGATAATCTGTATAGCCACAGATATCCAGGAAAATCAGCAATTAATTGCTCTCTAGTTTACTGTATGCTCCATGAGCACAATTTGGGGGGGGTCTCCTTCCCCCCCTCTCCCCTCAAAACCAGCCCCACTCAGTGGTAAGAAGCCACAAATAGCAGGCCCTCTAACGCTCCAGTTTGAAAAAATGTAAGAGTCTCACTAAATCACCAGTAGAAAAAATGAGATGGGCTTGCACTTTCCTTTAGAATTTAATAGTTTATAGTGTTTTATTGACAAAAGAAACATATCAAATAGATAAATACTGAGGTGTGGAATGTTTTGAGTCCATTTACAAAATGAAGAGCTTCTGGCCACAGTTCTGTCCTTCAAAATGGTAAACAAACAGCAAATTAATCAGCTTTCAATAAGAAACTTGTCAAATATAAGTTAATATGTTTCTCTGGCCTCAGATAAATCCAGTAGGAACTTGCAATAAATAGCAAAACATACATAGAAGACCGCAGACTTCTTCCCTGCCTGTGGGAGAATGGTTGCCTAAATTAGTCTGTAAGTTTTGTTACTGACAGATTTCATTTTACAAACCTAACGCTGGCATAATCAGATTGAAGAGGCAAACCCAATTCTGTTGCCTTGCAAACTGAATAGCTAACGCAGGTTCATTTACCTCGGGAGTTACAATTCAGTCTTGGGAGCAAGTTAAGTTTTGTTCAGCTTCGACATTAAGAGTGAAACACTGCAATTTGTCTCTGATCACTCTCAGGTGAGCACCCCTAACTTGATCCTCCAGTGCTAGCAGACAGAAAGAAGAATCACACTCTGCCAGACCCATTTGCCTGTGCAAAGTGACACCAGTTTGAACCACTCACAGAAGTGAGGCCATTTATAATTCAAACTTGCTTCAAGTAAAACCATGCACTTAAAACCCATGTTCTTTTCATTTTGTTTGCAAAACTATAATTTCATGAAGTTAGCCGTGGGAAGAAAGAGATTACGGAAAAAGTGGGGTTTTTTTGTTAATTTTTAAAAAATCTATCGAGAAAAGACCAGCTATAGGAAAATAATAATAAAGAAAAGGGTAAGGCCAAGTCCTGGGACAGACAATTAGGATATTTTTCATCTTCTGACAATAAGTTTGACATCTGTGACCATTCAAAATATCTGAAACATTTATCATATGTGAAATAAGTCAGACACAGAAAGACGAATACTGAATGTTGTCACTTATAAGTGAGAGCTAAATAATGTGTATATCTGGATATAGAGTGTAGAATGACAAACAGAGGAGACTCAGAAGGGTGAAGGGTGTGGCAGGGTGGATGACCAGAGATTACTTAAGGGGTACAATGTACATTATCTGGGTAACGGATACCCTAAAAGCCCTGACCTTACCACAACACAATCTATGCATGTAAAAAATTGCACTTGCACCCTATAAGTTTATACAAAATTTTTGTTTTTTTTTTGTTTTTCCTTTTTGATTTTGTTTTTTTTGTTTTGAGACAGTCTCTTTGTCACCCAGGCTGGAATGCAGTGGCACCATCTCCTCTCAGTGCAACCTCCACCTCCTGGGTTTGAGTGATTCTCATGTCTTGGCCTCCTGAGTAGCTGAGATTACAGACATGCACCACCATGCCCAGCTAATCTTAAAAAAAATTTTTTTGAGATGGAGTTTCGTTCTCGTTGCCTAGGCTGGAGTGCAGTGGCATAATCTCGACTCATTGCAACCTCCACCTCCCGGGTTCAAGTGATTCTTGTGCCTCAGCTTCTCGAGTAGCTGGAATTATAGGCACACGCCACCATACCCATATTTTTAGTAGAGACAGGGTTTCACCATGTTGGCCAGGCTGGTCTTGAACTCCTGCCCTCAGGTGATCCACCCACCTCAGCCTCCCAAAGTGCTGGGATCACAGGTGTGAGCCACCACGCCTGGCTGAAATTTATACAGATTTTAAATAAGAACAAAAAACAAAACCTGAAACATAAAATAACATCTATAAATGAAACTTTATGTGTAGGTGAATTAATTATGTATAGATGAATTAATTATTCTGTGATTTTTAATATTTTTGTAATTAGAACCCCACTTTCACAAAAGTAGGCATCCTGAGCTTTTTATCAATTTAGTCATTCAGTGGATGTTTATTTTGTGCAAACAGTATATATGTCATCCTCATAGGTAGGTCCATGCTATCAGGCATTTATAAATGTGTTGTTGCTCACCTATACATTTTCCATATTTGAATGAATCTAGAGAAATATTGGGAGGGATTAAAAAAATCTGATCCCTAACACACATATTCCTCCATTGGCTCTCAGCTCCCCACCCTAACACACTCAGTCTCTCAGTCACACATGCACTAGGACTGACAGAAGGCATTGTGACATGTCAATTATTTTTACTTACAGATCTTGTATAAATAAATGTTTCATAGACTATAAAATCGAAGTTTGGAAGTATTTGCAATGTTTTACAGAGTAGACCATCGTTTTAAGATACTTGGCACCTGCACATTGCTCCTGCAGTTTGCTTCAAGTTGAGAAAAGTTGCAGGCTGGTGGAATTGTCTACATAGTGCAGTGTGTTGTATATACACACAATTCCATTCTTGTATCTGAGCAGCTATTCAGTCGGGGTGGTGCTGGGGCCTTCAAAAAATCTTTCCATTACTCCTTCTCTTGAGATATCGCTGTTCTCTTCTGAAACTGGTATGCTTTTGTAGCCCCTTGTCTACTAGGAGTTTAATTTTAAACTGTAAGGTAGTGTTCACAATATTCTGTGAAGGGGGAATCTATTCATTTGCAAGAATTTGTGACTAAAAAATGAACAACAAATATTTATGACAATTTTGTGCATATATATATATATATATTTCAGAGCAGGAAAAAAAGTACTTTTGGTAGTTAATAGACGAGAAATTGAAATTAGATAATAGTCTTAGTCTGTTCTGTGTTGCTGTAACAGACAACCTAAGGCTTCGTCACTTATAAAGAAGAGAGATTAGAAACTCATGGTTCTACAGGCTGGAAAGTGCAAGAAGCATGGCATCAGCATCTGCTTGGCTTCTGGTGAGGGCTTTTGTGCAATGTCACAGCATGGCAGAAGGTCGAAGGGGAAGCAGACACCCAAAGGGTGTCTTGACTTTATATCAACTAATTCTTCAATTCATTCCATTTGTTTTGTCAGCACAGAAGTACTGGATATAGGAAAAGAGAAGCATAATAGTAAAGGGAGTACAGATTTGAAAAAACAAAGGAGAAAATTGAAACATGAAACATGAGTGGATTTTTCTCTCCCACATTATTTTCTCCTGTGTTTTGTTCCTAGATTTACTTTTGCCTTTCATTTTGAGGCTTTTTTAATGAGTAAAAATAGGTATCAATTGATTTTTTTCCAGGAAAATAGAATAGCTTTAGGCTGAGTAATTAACAACATTGTTTCAATTTCTGTCGCACTTAATGAAGGTGTCAAAATATTTGTTTGATGTGAGTGAGGCATGAACATGGGAGCCAGGCGACAATGTCTCCTGCTTGACTTTATCAGAAGCATTGCAGATGTGCCCTTGAAAAGTGAAGTAGAAAAAGATCCGTTACATGTTACTAATATAGCATTTAATCCCCTGTTCAGGGAGAAGCATTTTTAGGCCTTCCTTGCTTTGCTATATATTGAATTTTCTTTTTTGCATAAAAGACAACCAAGCCGAATTAACAATATCATGTTAGAGTATTGAAATACCAAATAACTTCTTTAAAGTAGCTACTTTAGAGTAATAAATGTATACCTTTTATCACACATCCACTTGCCGTGATTGGAATTTATATTCACTTTGAAAATAGCAGCTACAAATATACATATGGACAACATGATGAACACAATTTGTTTAATTATTGGTGTACTTTGAGTTTGTCCCCACCAAAGCTCACCTTGAAATTTAGTCCCAAATGTGGCGGTGTTGGGAGGAGAGGCCTAATGGGAGGTGTGAGGGTCATGAGAGTAGATCCCTTATAAATGGCTTGGTGTAGACCCTTTGTCAGAAAGCAGGAATGATGTACCCGAGGCTGTACATCAGTCATACTGAATGCAATTCCACCCCCAAATCAAGGCCTGAAAAGGACCAATTAACAGAGACACCAAGCTGCAGAGTTCTGCTGTTTCTCAAACAGGCTCCCAGAAAATTCTCAGACAATGCTATCAGAAATTCTACACAACATAGTTTTGTCTGGTTTCTTGGGTGTGTGGCTTGTTTCTCTTGAATAGAGCTCTTCCTTTCCTTCTTCTTTTCCACAGTGACATCAATTCTTTCTGGATGATGTGGGAAATTTTGCACAACTTAAACTAAAATTTCTACTTTTGAGTTGTGAATTTTTGAAACATAATTAGTGTTTTATAACTTAAGAGTTCAGGTTCCTTCTTCAGCCACTATGCCTTGAACATTCATTTCAAGGGGACAAAAAAAGTCTTTGAATGTTTGTATCAATTACCACTAATCTTTTATTATCTAAATATTTTATAATATTTCCTATCTAAAAGGCATTTATATAAACATTGATGCCTTGGACTCCCCACCATTAATGAATACCTAAACTAATAGAGCTAGGGTATTTTGTTTTAAAACTCCTTTGAATCTAAATTTTTAATGGTTTTAGGCAGATTTTGAATATTCTTCCAACTATATCCTTGTCTCTTTCTAGGTTATTCCAATGTTGCAGGAATTTATAATCAACAGATTGGGACGTGCATTCATTGAACCACCCCCCTTTGATTTAGCCAAGGCATTTGGAGACAGTAACTGCTGTGCACCACTGATTTTCGTGCTCTCTCCTGGAGCAGATCCCATGGCTGCCCTTCTAAAATTTGCTGATGACCAGGTACCTTACAATAGATGAAGTTATCGGATATTATTTTAAAAAAGCAATACTTGCTTATAATTGAAATTTTAAGGATGAGGGAAAGGTAGAAATTTGTCATTCAACCTTTGAAAGTTATCACAAGTTGACAGAATCCCAAGAAAATGATACTAAAATGGCAGCACTGACACTAAAAAAGAACTCCTTATCCAAATTAAAATTTAATTAAAACTAGAATTGGGATTTAAGTGGCATTTACTTTTATTTGGGGTTGGGGGACAGGAAACTCTTTGACATTATTTGCACCAGTGTATGAACTTGGGTTGATTTAATGAATTCAAGCCTGGACAGTGACCTCAGGGGTGCACCTTTTCTGATCCCACCCCTCTGCCACTCTCTAACGGGGGGCCTTCATTGACTTTCCAGAACAATTGTACGTTGTGGTCACTGTATTAGATTAAAATATGTTCTGGCCAGGCACGGTGGCTCACACCTGTAATCCCAACACTTTGGGAGGCCGAGGCGGGCAGATCACGAGGTCAGGACATCGAGACCATCCTGGCCAACACGGTGAAACCCCGTCTCTACTAAAAATACAAAAAAAAATTAGCTGGGCGTGGTTGCAGACGCCTGTAGTCCCAGCTACTCGGGAGGCTGAGGCAGGAGAATGGCGTGAACCCAGGAGGCTGAGCTTGCAGTGAGCCGAGATCACGCCATAGCACTCCAGCCTGGGCGACAGAGTGAGACTCCATCTCAAGAAAAAAAAAAAAAAAAAAAAATTCTACTATTTACATGCCTTGTCTTTAAAAATTAATTCAAATGAATTCAGTACAAATGTTCTTACATCATATGGTCTAGAACAAGAAAATAATAATAAACAGATGATTGGGCATTTCCTGAGTTGAATTTTTTCGATTTGGTACAATTAAAATAACACAGTGTGGTAATGCTACTGATATTTCTAAAGCCACCACCACCACTTGTATTGAGTGCTTAATGTATACTGTTGACTTTGCTAGACCTTGTTACATACATGTTCTACAACTCCATAAGGTAGATGGTGGTATCTCTATTATACAGATAGGAACACTAAAGCATGGACAGGTTAAGTATCTCCTCAAAGGCCATGTAGCTGAGAGGTTAAAAAAAATTTACTAGGCCAAAAAAAATTGATATAAGGCATAGAAAAAAATTTAAGAAGACTTTTAACATAAGGAGGAAATAAAAAGGACTGGCTGCCTTGCAGCAGCTCCTAAAACCTAAAGCTGAAAAGAAAACTATAAATAGGTGAACTTGTCCTATTTCCTCCAGATTTTTGAATTATGTATTTTTGCATGAGTGTAATTCTCATATGCAGAAGAATAGATAGCTTAGCATAGTACTTATTATTTGTTGAAGAAGCATTGGAATGTGGCTGTGGTGATTGGAGGAGATGAGGTCTGAGATGTGTGAAGGACCAGATCATGTAGGGTCTCTGGAGGCCACATTAAGGACATTGAGTAAGATGGGAAGATGGAGGAGTAGGGTTTTAAGCAACAAACTGACATGATCTGACCTATAATTTATAAAGTTCATCCTAGTTGGAGCCTGAAGAATTTATTTGGGTGGTGCAGAATAGAAGGAGGCCCCTAGTAAGGGCGTTGGCTATTGAAAGTCCAGGAAGAGCAATGGTGGGTAGGAGTAGAGTGGGAATGGTGGAAGTGTTCACTTCTACGAAGGACTCACCTCCTAGTCAACACAAGCTTGACGACCCTTTGAGCCCCTCCTAGTTGCTTTTATATCTCTCCTCACACTGTACATATGATTATTCTCTGGCTCCTATGTGGGTCCTGCTCATGCATTCTCTTCTCTTGCTGTCTCCTCTTCTTCCAGAAACAGCAGGATCCAGCTCTACTTTGTTTTCTGCTGCCTCTACCAGCTAGTGACAATAAGCCATGGGCATTCGGGAGGGGCTGAGACCCCACTCTTCCGTATCCAGGCCTCTTCTAAAGGGGCAGTCTAGTGATAACTACCCCAGAAAGGAGACCCAGAAGCCAGGGACGAATTAGAATACAGTAAAACTGAATATAGGAAAACATTCCCACAGAATTCTCTAAAGAAACTGACATGGGAATCAGTGGCAATTTTAAAAATTCTCTTTTATACAGTAGCCAAAGTAACTAAAATATAGTTATTCAAAGATATGGAGGAAACAGGACAAGTTCATCTGTCTCTTTTTAGTTTTCTTTTCAGATTTGGATTTTAGGAGTTGCTGCAAGACTGCCAGTGCCTTTCATCTCCTCCTTATGTTAAAAGTCTATTTAATTTATTCTTTCTATCCCTTCTATCAACAACCAAAGACTCTACAGAATTTTCCATTTATTGCCATGACTATTTCCTACGTGAATTGACTTGCTTTTTATCGAAGTGTTTATAAGATTCTTTGTCAAAGAGAGTTTTTTAGGGATGCATGTGTTTGGCTTTTTGAGACATGTGACCCAATTAAGTTGTAATATAGTCAATGTTAACTTTTAAAAAAACAATATTGATGTTTCTTAAAATGTGATTTTAAATAACATCTCTACTATTCTTGTACACAGGGATATGGGGGATCAAAACTTAGCTCTTTATCTCTTGGTCAAGGCCAAGGGCCCATTGCTATGAAGATGTTAGAAAAAGCTGTCAAGGAAGGAACATGGGTTGTTCTTCAGAATTGTCACCTTGCCACCTCTTGGATGCCAACCCTTGAGAAAGTCTGTGAGGTAAAAATGCAAGTTTATACTTATTAGATTGCATTCCCTGGATCTAATTAGTAATATACATAACATTCGGGTAGCTCCATTCCCCTCTAATTTGGAGCGTTGCAGGTTAGTGCTTTGGCTGGATTGCAGGAGAGAGAGGCTCACATTGAAAACCAGATCTGGAGGAACAGAGGCGAGCACATAGCCAGGCCTGGGCAAATCCCTCTTAACAGGGACAAGGGCTCATCCAGTGAGATGGAAATATCCTCAATCCTGAGGAGCAGGCTGAAGGAGGAGAGTAAACCACAGGGTAGATATACATCAACTTACTTTTTATAACAATGGCCTAAAGCAACCAAGGAGGACTGTTCAAGGTGAAATTCATGTGGCCACTCTCAACTCAAAGGCTTCAGAATGTCACTTTTCTTTAACTTACTTCTCTCCCACTTGGCCAGTTACCCTGCCACAGTAGAGAAATCTGAAACCCAAAGGGCACTGTTCCCACCCACCTTGCAGTGGGTCGTGGGACTTCCCTGTTCTGGTTGGCAGAAATTCCAGGAAAAAAACTCCATGTAGCTCAACTGAGTAAACAGAAAGCCTGGCACTTGATCTCAACAAACAGAGAAAATGAATCCTCTGGAATTACCCATGACTCTAGCCCACTCCTAACTCCCTTCTAAATAACCATGGTGATGATAGAACTTGCACCATCCACCCATCTGGCTTTGTTTTTTCTTTACGTCACTTAGCGCCAGTTTGTTCTGGCCGTGTCTCCCACTAGAATGTAAGCATCATGAAGACAGTGACTTTGTCTTTATCTGTTGTATTCTCTGCTTTCCCTCCAGCACCTTGAACAGTGAGGCCCATAGGATACAATCAAGCAATATCTTCACTGCCTGACACTTTTCAATGGCCTCCCAAGGCATGCAAGACAAAGTTCAAACCCCCAACATGACCTACAGCACTCTTCAGAACCTGACCTTTGCCTACTTCTCAAGTTTCTTCTCAGGCCACTTTCATCATGACTTCCATGCTCTAGCCTTTTGAACTTCTTTCACTTTTATTGGTGCAGCACACTTTCTCAAGAGTATACGTCATCATAGTTGATGTAATTTCTGCCTGAAAAACTATTCTTTTTATCATTTGCCTTACAACATTTCCTCATACTTCACGCCTTATATCAGAGGTGTTTGTTGTTGTTGTTGTTGTGGTTTTGAGATGAAGTCTCAATCTGTCACCCGGGCTGGAGTGCAGTGGCACGATCTTGGCTCACTGCAACCTCCGCCCCCTGGGTTCAAGCGATTCTGGTGCCTCCGCCTCCCGAGTAGCTAGGATTACAGGCACCTGCCACCATGGCCGGCTAAATTTTTGTATTTTTAGTAGAGACAGCGTTTCACCATGTTGGCCAGGCTGGTCTCGAACTCTTGAGCTCAGGTGATCTGCCTGCCTTGGCCTCCCAAAGTGCTGGGATTACAGGCGTGAGCCATCATGCCTGGCCTATCAGAGGTTTTATGTTTGTGCCTGTCTGCTTATGGTTCATCTGTCTCCAGACTGAGACTGTTCTCATGACCTGTTGAATTGTATCATATATACCCATCACAGAGTCCTGTAAGAGAGAAATCTGTCCCTGACTTATCTGAGTGCCTTGTTTATTCTCACAACCTGGCTACAGCAAGAGAAATGGATTAGTCTTTAATCTAGCTCTGGGGCAGAGAATTATTTCTGTAAATATTTCAGCAACATCAGTGCACATACAAGAGTTTTGGGAACGTCTTAGTTATTTTAACCAACTCTAAATTATATAGCACTTTTGTAAACTTTATAATCATATGAATTAATGTTACCAAGGAGAATGACAACACCTTGGGCCTTCTCAACAAGGTGTTATTGTTTTAGGAGCAGCATCAGATTTTAAAGCTTTTGCTGAAAATTGCAGCAGTTACATTTCTACTTTGTAAAAATACTTCCTCCCCCTTCCAACTCATCCTTCATATGTATGCTTTTGAGATTTTCTTTGGGTTTTATTTACTCTTTTGTATCTGATTTATTTTCTTACAGGAGTTAAGCCCAGAGTCAACACATCCAGATTTCCGAATGTGGCTAACGAGTTACCCATCTCCAAATTTCCCTGTGTCAGTACTGCAGAATGGAGTGAAAATGACCAATGAAGCACCAAAAGGTTTACGGGCTAATATCATTCGATCATACCTCATGGACCCGATCTCTGATCCGGAGTTCTTTGGCAGCTGCAAAAAGCCTGTTAGTAATGGTTAAGTCTTGTTACCTCGGCCCTGTAAAGCACTTCAAGTGGCCCCTGGTGATCATGGATGTGTGCACTGAGTAAAACTAAAAATTAAATAGGCCTCCTGCACCGCAGTGCAGTAGGTTTTGATAACTGATTATTGACTGTGCTGAAGTCAATTTTGTTAATATTTTATTTTAATTTTAGCACCAGCCTCATTCCTGCTCAGCTGAGATCTTATGGGGTGTCATTAATAATGTAGCTTTCTATTTAGAAAGTCAGCTGTAAGCCATTCCCAGTACAAATCTGCAAGGTTGGAGAATCTTGTTTCAGGATATTAACTGAGCCTTGTGCTATTTAGAGCCATGTCTCTAAATTAAAACATAAAAATATTTCCTTCATATAACTATAATGAGAGCCAAAATGATTTTACTTCTTGATTGATGGGACTCATAAGGGTCTTTTTTAGCGTCACCAGGCAAGCAGGGAAACCACCCACTGCTTTCATGATTAGAATTGTGTACGTGAATGTCTGTGACCTAAAATTGTTTCACAGCGTTTTGCCATAATTAAAAATGGAAGAGTTTCTTTTTAAGAGGGGTTATGAACTTTAGGAAGTTTTTGCTGTTAAAAAGCTCACACGCTTGATGTCTGAATTTGTTTTAAGTGCACATCAAAGGAAAACATTAAAAATAAAGAAGTACTTTCATTAAACAAAAGTCTTGGGTACTAAAAAATAAAAGGGGGCCTATATTTAAAACTAAGTCAAACCATCTCTTAAGCTTCTAAGATCTGCCATAGGACTAGCTTTTGTATTGATTAGGGCCAGAGAGAGCAAGTTACTCCCAGATAGATGATGATGGCATTTCTGCGTATGATGGACTAGACAGAGCCTCTTTGCAAAATTTTAACTCAAACCCTCCCTTTCTTCTAGATCAAAAGGTCTCTCCAGCAGTAGTCACCTACATTTCAGGTCCAGGAATTTATGAAACACAGCCCGAACGAAAACCAAAGTCTCATTAAATGCCAAAGCAGCACATCATAATTTTTGTTTTAACTTTTTATTTGAAAATAATTTTAATCTTACAGAAAAAATGCGAGTATAAAAATAGTACAAGGGCCAGGCATGATGGCTTACACCTGTAATCCCAGTGCCTTGGGAGGCTGAGGCAAGAGGATTGTTTGAGGCCAGGAGTTTGTGGTCAGCCTGGACAATATAGTGAGACCCCTACCTCTATAAAAATAAATAAATAAAAAATTAGCCAGGCCTGGTGGCACACACCTATAGTCCCAGCTACTCGAGAGGCTGAGGAGGGAGGATCGCTGGAGCCCAGGAGTTTAAGGCTGCAGTGAGCCATGATCATCCCACTGCACTCCAGCCTGGGTGACAGAGCAAGAAGACCCTATTTCTAAATAAATAAATAAATAACAATAGTACAAGGAACATCCCTACACCTTTTTACCCATATTCATCTCCTGTTAATATTTTATTCCTTTTGCTTTATTATTTGTATTTCCTCTCTCTCTCTCTCCCCCTTCCCCTGACCATCCCTCCCCTGCCCCCACATCAGGTGCATGTAAATTAGATAAGTTAGATATATCATGGCCCTTTATCATTACATTTTTTTGGTGTAAATTTTGTAAGAATAGGGATATTATCTTATTCTGGTACAGTTATTACTTTTAATAAGTTTAAGAAGGATACACTGTTATTTAATCTATCATTTGTGTTTCAATTTTGTCAGTTGATGCAGTAATATCCATTTCCTGTCCCTGACAGCATTGGTCTAGTATTCAGTGTTATACTTAATTGCCTCGTCTCTTTTGTCTCTTTTAATCTGGCACATTTTCCTATTCTTTCTTTGTCTTTTATGACATTGATATCTCTGAAGAAGTCATCTCCCCCTGTTTTTTTAATGTGTGTGTGTGTGTGTGTGTGTGTGTGTGTGTGTGTGTGTGTATTTTTTGGTTTTTTTGTACTTTCAACTTTTATTTTAGATTCAGGGGATACATTTACAGGTTTGTTAAATGGGTATATTAAGTGATGCTGAGGTTTGGGATATGAATGATCCTGTCACCCAGGTAGTGAGCATAGTACCCAACTGTTTTTAAGCCCTTGCCCCCTCACTCCCTTTCCCCTTAGTAGTCTCCAGTATCTATTGTTCCTTTTTTTTTTTTTTTTTTTTTTGAGACAGGGTCTCACTCTATTGCCCAGGTTGGATTGCAGTGGCTCAATCACAGCTCACTGCAACCTCCACCTCTTGGGCTCAAACGATTATCCCACCTCAGCCTCATGAGTAGATGGGACTACACGTGCACACCACCACACCTGGCTAATTTTTATATTTTTTGGTAGAGACTGGGTTTCACCATGTTGGCCAGGCTGGTCTCAAACACTTGACCTAAGTGGTCCGCCCTCCTTGGCCTTCCAAAGTGCTAGGATTACAGGCATGAGCCACTGCACCTGGCCTATTGTTTCCTTCTTTATGTCTGTGTTTACCCAATGTTTAGCTCCCACTTATAAGTGAGAAGATGCAGTATTTGGTTTTCTGCTCCTGCATTAACTGTCTTAGGATAATGGCCTCCAGCTGCATCCATGTTGCTGCAAAGGGCCTGACTTCATTCTTTTTTATGGCTGCATAGTATGCCACAGTGTATAAGTACTACATTTTCTTAATCCAGTCCATCATTGATGTACACTAAGGTTGATTCCATGTCTTTGCTGTTGCAATTAGTGCTGAGAATATATGAGTTCATGTGTCTTTTGAGTAGAATGTTTTATCTTCTCTGGATATACACACAGTAATGGGATTGTTTGGTGGAATGGTTGTTCTGTTTTAAGTTATTTAAGAAATCTCCAAACTGCTTTCCACAGTGGCTAAATTAATTTACATTCCTACCAACAGTGTATAAGCATTCCCTTTTCTCTGCAGCCTCACCAGCATCCATTGTGTTTTGACTTTTTTTTTTTTTTTTTTTCCTGCTTCAGCCTCCCGAGTAGCTGGGACTACAGGCGCCCGCCACCTCGCCCGGCTAATTTTTTGTATTTCTAGTAGAGACGGGGTTTCACTGTGTTAGCCAGGATGGTCTCGATCTCCTGACCTCGTGATCCACGCGCCTTCACCTCCCAAAGTGCTGGGATTACAGGAGTGAGCCACCGAGCCTGGCCTTGACTTTTTAGTAATAGCCATTCTGACTGGTATAAGAAGGTATCTCATGGTGGTTTTGATTTGCATTTCTCTGATGATTAGTGATGTGGAGCACTTTTTTTGTTATGTTTCTTGGCCACTTGTAAGTCTTCTTTTAAGAAGTGTCTGTTCATGTCTTCTGCCCATTTTAATGGGGTTATTTGTTTATTGCTTGCTAAATTGTTTAAGTTCCTTATAGATTCTGGATATTAGACCATTGTCAGATACATAGTTTGCAAATATTTTCTCCCATTCTGAAGGTTGTCTTTTTACTCTGTTGATAGTTTCTTTTGCTCTCCAGAAGCTCTTTAGTTTAATTAGGTCTCACTTGTCAATTTTTGTTTTTGTTGCAGCTGCTTTTGAGGACTTAGCCAAAAATTATTTTCCAAGGCCAATTTTGAGAAGGGTATTTCCTTGGTTTTCTTCTAGGATTTTTATAGTTTGAGTTTTTACATTGAAGTCTTTAATCCATTTTGAGCTAATTTTTGAATATGGTGAAATGTGGGGATCCAGTTTCATTCTTCTGCATATGGCTAGCCAGCTATCCCAGTACCATTTATTGAATAGGGAGTCTTTTCTCCATTGCTTATTTTTGTCAACTTTGTCAAAGAGCAGATGGCTGTAGGTGTGCAGCTTTATTTCTGGGTTCTCTATTCTCTTCCATTGGTCTATGTGTCTGTTTTTCTTTTTTTTTTTTTTTTAACCAGTACCATGCTGTTTTGGTTACTGTAGCCTTGTAATATAATTTAAAGTTGGGGAATACGATGACTCTGGTATTCTTCTTTTTGCTTAGGATTGCTTTGGCTATTCAAGCTGTTTTTGGTTCTTTATGAGTTGTAGAATTAATTTTTTCTAATTCTGTGAAAAATGATTGATAGTTTGATAGGAATGGTGTTGAATGTGTATATTGCTTTGGGGTGTATGGCCATTTTAACAGTATTGATTCTTCCAGTCCATGAGCATGGAGTGTTTTTCCATTTGTTTAGGTCACCTGTGATTTCTTTCAGCGGTGTTTTGTGGTTCTCCTTGTAGAGATTTTTCAGCCCTTAGTTAAATGTATTCTTAAGTATTGTGTGGGGTGGGAGGCAGCTATTATAAATGGGATTGTGTCCTTGATTTGGCTTTCAGCTTGAACATTATTGGTGTATGGAAATGCTGCTCATTTTTGTACATTGATTTTGTATTCTGAAACTTTACTGAAGTCATTTATCAGTTCTAAGAGTCTTTTGGCAGAGTCTTTGGTGTTTTCCAGGTATAGAATCATATTGTCAGCAAAGAGAGATAGTTTGTCTTCTTCTTTTTCTATTTGGATGTCTTTTATTTTTTCTTTTGCCTGTTTACTCTGGCTAGGACTTCCTCTCTGTTTTTTAATAAATTTCTCATTTTGGGTTTTTTTTTAATGTTTTCTCATGATTAGATTCAGGTGATTCATTCTTAGCCAAGATATTCCATAGGTGATGTTGTATGCTCAGAGATCACATCTGGAGGCACATGATGCCATTTGTCCCTCATTGATGATACTAATTCTGATCACCAAGACAAAGTATTGCCTTATTTCCTCACTGTATAATAACTGCTTTCTCCTTTGCCAGGAATAATCAGTCTGTGGGGGAGATACTTTAGCACCATGAAAATATCCCATTCCTCATCAAAATCCAGCCCCAACCCAGAATTAGTAATCATTGATGATTCTTACCTGATCCAGTTATTCTGTGATGATTGTAAAAATATTATTTCCTACCCGAGTGCTCCCTTCCACATTCGACACTTGGCACTCTACTACAAGCAACAGTTCTCCCTTCTCCGCCATTTGTTTATCTATTAATTGGCATGGACTATGAATTCCTATGCTTTTTTTTTCCCCTCAATGGTACATTAAGTATTTTCATTGCTATACTTGAGTCTTTTGGTACTCAGATTCTTCCAGAGTTGGTCAGTTAGGGCTCCTTCAAACTGCTTCCTCTGTACTTGGTATAGGTTCCATATTAAAAAAAAAAATTCTATTATCTGGTGATTAGTAGCAGTAGTACCTCTTACTTTCTGGCATAAGATGTTCCAGGCTCATGGTGTACCTATCTTGCCCCAGCCCTGGAATCAGCCATTTTTCTGAAGAATCCCATTTCCTTTTAATGGAGAATGGCATTAGAGAGCATGGTTTGGGTGTTAGAGGAGCTTATTGCTACTGCATTATCTGTCTGTATTTTCTTGACTCTTTCAGTGGAGAGAACTTGGAAGTATATACATGTACACACATACACAAATATACAAATATACATGCACACATACATGCAAATATACAAATACACATACATGCAGACAAGTTCATGTGCACATAAATACTACATACATATTTTAGAAGTGATGAATTCATACTAATACCTCCAATTTCAGTCACTCTTCTCAGATATCTTTTTTGCTTTTCCTCATTCCATATTTGTATGTCCCTTCTTCTGCAATGAGAAGCCTGGTTTTCAACACATCAGCACATTTACTGATTTGCTCAATTCTCTAATATATTGAAAATAGTCCAGAATTAGCCCAGCATGTTTAACTACCTCTGTGGTTAAATTTATGCAACTTTTTTTTTGTCTCCCACTCTACCTTTCAAAGTTATTCTGTGAGGGAAACCCTTCCCCTGCTCTTGTATAAAATGCCATTTCTTTGACTTTTCTGGTTACTGTTAGGTAGTAAAGTGTTCTGTAGTCATTTTAAATTGTAAAGCCAGCCTTGATTCAGAAACCAAGAAGTATAATGTAATATATTGATCATTACTTCAACTTTTATTCAAAATCTAGGTTTCCACTTCCCAGTGTCTCACCTTGGGCTTGTAGTTGGTGGCCTTCCTGCCCTTGGGGGAAGATGGAGTTGGCATCTTTCTTCTTGTGACTCCTCCTGCACTTGATAGCTGCTGATACTGACTGCTCAGCTCCAAGTGTGTGTGAGGGCAAGGCTGGGAGAGGCAGAAATTCCTGATGGCGGCTGCTATTGCCTACAGCTCTCTGGACTTGGCAAATCATTTAAAGCTGACCCTTGAGCTCTTTGTGAAATCTCTTGTGAGTGTTTTCATGGGTTCTCCTTAGGCTCCCCTGCTGGACTTCTGTGACTGTGACTCTGTCACCTTTGGCAGTGTCTCTACTCAAGATGGCTACTCCAAATCCTCCTCAGCTTCTGGTTCTCCAGCACTCCCTTCATACAGGCTCTTACCCTTGGGGTTTCCTCACCCCGTGGCAGAAGTCTTCTTAACCAGGGCACCTTTAAAATGACCCCCAGCTCCCATTCTCAGCCCACACTCTCCGTCTGCTCCTTGGGATTCCCACTGGATGGGCCCACTGTTGGAGGAGTGTGGCGACTTCACTTTTACCATCCTCTCCCTACTTTCCACCCTGCCCCAGCTGCAGGGGACATGTGTCAGCTCTCCAGGTGGCCCCATCAATTCCTTCTCACTAACTCGAACTTAGAGGGTAGACCCCACACAACCCTCCCTACTGGGGATTAGGGGAAGGGGACTCCCAGCATAACAGCTGTTCCCTCCCAGGAAATCTCTTCACAAATCCTCTTTAAAGTTCTATTTTCCTTGTTTCCTATTCTCCTCGTGGGTTTTAGAGACCTCTAATCGGTTCGAATTATCTCCTTTAACATTTCTCCATGGTGATCTGGGAGCACACGTTGGAATTGTTACATGTTGCCTTATGATGCTTCAGTAAGGACCTCAAAAATCTGTAACGCAGCATTAAGTTAGATGAGCCTCCCATGCTTCCTAAAAACCTGGGGTACACAGCTATGTGTGCATAGCTATGTGAACATATACACAGACGGACATACTTTGCTTGAAAAGCTGTAGAAACATACTTAACTCTGTTATAATTGTAATTTGGGATGAATATGTCCCTATGCTATTTATAAATGAAAGAAATTTGCTTTCATTTTAAAATATGGTAAATATAATGCAATATATGGAGAAAATAATGATGCGGCATCATTTCTTCTCATTACAGGAGGAATTCAAGAAATTGCTTTATGGCCTGTGTTTCTTTCATGCTTTGGTACAAGAAAGACGGAAATTTGGACCCCTAGGGTGGAATATTCCTTATGAGTTCAATGAGACAGATCTGAGAATCAGCGTACAGCAGCTCCACATGTTCCTGAACCAGTATGAGGTATCATAAAAATCACAGCAAGGACATTACCTATGTTGCTCTTTATCATGTTATAAGTGTGTTATAGTAAGTGGGCACTTCTGATTAATTTCTACTCTTATGAAATGAATAGGAGAGTAGTTCCCAACAGCTTATTAAGTAGTACTTTATTGTAATAGGGTATTATAACTGCTATACTAGGTAGTTAGGACATCAGTTTGTCTATTAGAAACCCATGATATATCATTTATTTTGACACACAAACACTTAGGGAGATCCAAAAAATGATAATATTATACTTATTTTGAAAAGGACTTGAGAAGACTATTAACCAGGTTCCAAAATGTAAAAAACAAACAGACCAGTTGTCTTCCTTTGTGGAGTATGACTTTATTTTTAGGGAAATGTCGTTATACCATTATTCCAGAGCTTGGACCATTTGTCAGGAAAAAAAAAAAAAATCTATTTAAGCCATTGGTGTTAACCTGGGGTATAGACTGTGGAAAGAAGCCGAACAGCCTAATGTTGTCACATAGACCACATTTCAGCCTCTCCAGTTCTGATGTACTCATACACATGCAGCATGGCGGTACCCTTTCTCTCTTTGCTATTTATCAATGGGATTTTTGACATGCCTGTACCTTTGAAGAAGCACTTGGTAAATAAACCCAAATGTCCTATAAAAATATGAGGCCTTTTTCTGAAAGTTAATCCTCTAAGTTTTGACAATTTTGTTCAAATTTAGTTTGAAATCTATAACTAAATCATTTCGTCAATTGAGTATGAAAAAGTTTTGGTTTTTGAAACTTAGTAAATTATGACTTTTTAAAGAGGCTTACAAACAGGAAGGCATTGGATTCTATCTCTATAAAAGTAAAGAAGAAACTGAACAAAATAAATACTGAGAGTTCAGATGGTGTATCTAAACTTATGTGAAGAATCTTTTATTTGGGCTTCTGTGTTTCATCAGACAAATTCTTATTCTATAGAATGAATTCAGAAAGCCCTCAATTCTGCAGCATCTAAATTTGACAAAATATTCAAAAGAATCATAAATTTAATGAGCTTTGTTCTTGTAGTAACATTTATCCAAAAAATACACTAATAAGGGAGCAAAAATGCAGTGATACAGTGCCTGAGGAAGTATTCGAGCTATAATTACACTTTTCAAAACAAAAAAAATAAAAAAGGATGAGAAGCTCTTCCATTTAGGAATTTGTTCTGAACACTTGTAGGGTATATTCTAATTTAAAATATTATTTAATGAAGAGTCAGTTAAAAGTATGCAGGTATGCGAGACTGGTTTAACATTACAAATTCAGTTAATGAATTAGAAGGCTGAAGAAGAAAAACCACATGATCATATCGATAGATGCAGAAAAAACATCTGAAAAAATCCAACTCATTCATGATTTAAAACAACAACCAAAAAAAAAAAAAAAAGCTCTCAGTAAACTAGGAATGGAGGGGAGCATCCTCAACTTGATTAAACAAACATACAAAAAACCTACAGCTAATTGTACTTAAATGGAGAGAAACTAGAAGCTTTCCCACCAAGATCAGGAACAAGGCAATGATATCCTTTCTCACTACTGCTTTCGACATTGTACTAGAAGTCCTAGCTAATACAAGTCCTAGCTAAACAAGACCCTGTCTTAAAAAAATAAATTAAATTAAATTAAAAACACACACACACACAGACAGACTGAGAGAAAATGTTTGTAAAAGACGTATCCGAAAAAGGACTCTTATCCAAAATATCCAACAAACTCTTAAAACTCAACAATAAGGAAACAAAATTCCTGGTTTAAAAATGGGTCGGCCGGGTGCGGTGGCTCACGCCTGTAATCCCAGCACTTTGGGAGGCCAAGGCAGGCAGATCACGAGGTCAGGAGATCGAGATCATCCTGACTAACACGGTGAAACCCCGTCTCTACTAAAAATACAAAAAATTAGCCGGGCGTGATGGCAGAAGCCTGTAGTCCCAGCTACTCGGGAGGCTGAGGCAGGAGAATGGCGTGAAACCGGGAGGCGGAGCTTGCAGTGAGCCGAGATCATGCCCACTGCACTCCAGCCTGGGTGACAGAGCGAGACTCCATCTCAAAAAAAAAAAAAAAAGGGTCAAAGATATTAACAGACATCTCAGTAATAAATATATACAATATGATAAGCATATAAAAGATGGTCCACATTATATGTCATCAGAGAAATAAAAACTAAAACAATGAGAGACCATTACACATCTATTAGAATGACCAAAATCTGGAACATTGACACCACCAAATGCTAACAAGGATGTGGAGCAGCAGGAACTCTCATTAATTGCTGGTGTGGGTACAGCCACTATGGAAGATACTTTAGCAGTTTCTTATAAAACTAAACATCCTTTTACCATATGATCCAGCAATCATGCTCCTTTGTATTTTCCCAGTGCAGTTGAAAACTTAGGTCCACACAAATACCTGCATATAGATGTGTAGAAGCTTTATTCATAATTGGCAAAACTTGGAAGCAACCAAGATGTCCTTTAGTAGGTGAATGGATAAACTGTGATACATTCAGACAATGGGATATTATTCCGTGCTAAAAAGAAATAAGCTATTAAACCATAAAATGACATGGAGAAAACTTAAATGCATATTGCTAAGTGGGAGAATACAGTCTAAAAAGCCTGCGTAGTCTGTGATTTCGACTATATGACATCCTGAAAAAGGCAAAATTGTGGAGACAGTGAAATGATTATTGGTTCCCAAGGCTTAGGTAGGAAAAAAAAATGAATAGGTAGAACACAGATGATTTTTATTTAGGGCAGCAAAAATATTCTATATGATACTGTAATGGTAGATACACAGCATTATGAATCTGTCCAAATCCATAGGATGTACAACCCTAGGAGTGAACCCTAATGTCAGCTGTGGACTTCGAGTCCTCATGAATGATGTGTCAGTGTAGGCTCATCATTTGTAAGACGTGTGCCACTTTGGTCATGGATGTTGATACTGGGGGAGGCTGTGCAGGTATGGGGACAGGGAATATGTGGGAAATCCCCATACCTTTTGTTCCGTTTTGTTGTGAACCTAAAACTGTTCTTTAAAAATAGTCTTAAAAAAAAAAAGTACAAATCAGTGAAAAAATTTGGTTAACTGTGAGTGATTTGGAACGTTATGCCATGCCAACTAATTTGGTGGTTATTCTGTTGTTATTGGTGTGCTTTTTGGAGACTATTTTTGCCTTTTAGGAAGATCACTCTTACAACAGAATGGAGAGTGGATTTAGAGAGACTTAGCTGGCAGGCTGGTTTTAGGAGATACTAGGAGTTGAATTGTGTCCCTGTAAAAGACATGTTGAAGTCTTAATCCATGGTAATTCAGAATGTGACATTATTTTGGGATGGGGTCATTGTGAGTGTAACTAGTTAAGTTAAAATGTGGTCATGTGGGAGTAGGTTGGGCCGTTAATCTAATATGACTAGTGTCATTATAAAAAGAGAGAAATCTGAACACACCCAGAGAAGGAAGACAGCCATGTGAAGACAGAGGCAGAGACTTGAGTTGTGCTGCCACAAGCCAAGGAACACCTGGAGCTACAACTAGAGGAGGCTGGGAAAGATCCTTACAGAGGCTTGAGAGAGAGTGTGGCCTGCCAGTCCCTTGATTTCAGACTTTTAGGCTCCAGCACTGTTAGAAAATAAATTTCTATCATTTTAAGCCACCTATTGGTGTCATAGAAAAGTAATACAGGAGACTATCATGATAACCCAGGCAGATAACGATAAGAGTCTAAACGAAATCATTTGAGCAAGATTAGGGAACATGGTAGAGATACAATGGATATGTAGGGGAAAGGATTGAAATGACTTATATATTCAATGGTAAAGGGAGAGGGAGAAGCCTTGGTTGATGTGAGTTTTCTGGTGTGGATTGGTGGTGATTTCATTCATTAATCCAGACAGGGAATAGAACCAGGCATTAATAGGTATAGAGCAGATGGGCGAGTGGATATCCAGGTAAAAATGTCTTTTAGGCTCTTGGCATATAGATATAAAACTCAAGGGAAGAGAGAGCACAAAATAGAGATTTATAGGTTATTCAAGTGTTAGGAGAAGCCTGAAAATAGATGAGATTTAAAGGGGGGGCCTTGTGCTGTAGAAAAAGAAGAGAACAAAGATTGTATGTTGGTGAGCACCAAAACACAATGGTAGGAGAGAGAACAGAAGACATGGAGGGCAGATGGTGCAGCCAGGAAAAAAAGCAGGAGCGAGCAAGCTGAGTAAATAAAGAGTATCAAGAATAGTTCATCCTGTTAAATGCTGGAGAGAATAAATTAAGTGCCTGTTGGATTTGCAACAGTAATTTCAAAAGTGTTATGTCTTTTTAAATGCTGAACTCCATCTAACTTTCAGGACTTCGCAGAAATAATACGATTTTTTTTGGAAAAAAATGGCTAATTTACACGTTTTTCTGTGGTTCTTTTAGTTCATTTATAGTGAAAGAATATGATATTTAAATGTATTAAATAAAAAATGATAAATAATTATGTGGTACAAGTATGAGCTATTTCACTTTCTTCAAGAATCTTTAAATGACATGTTTCACTGACCAAAGTGGTTCCTTCTATTAAATGACAAGTCAGCAAGTGCTTCACAATTCCTCCAGCATAGTAATTGTATTGCAAACTTGCCAAAACTGCTATACTTGAGTCATGTATACTTCATCATGAGTTAAAGAGGGATTCTTTGCGGAATGTGGATTCATAGCTCCCTTTGACATTATTAAGTCTAATGCACTCCTTCTTGAACAATCAACATTAGAAATGGAAGAGGTATTCGATAAATGAAGTTAGAATAATTGGTTATTTGCTAAAGTAGATTCTTCATATATAATTTCTGTTGGATCCAAAAAGACTAAATAGAAAAAATTAAAAGTGTAAAAGAAGAAAATTTAGGTGGATATATATTATCTACTTGACAGATGGGCAATTGCGTTGTCATTCTTGTTTTGGTAGGGGTGTGTCTGTGTGTGTGTGTGTGTGTGTGTGTGTGTGTGTGTGTGTGTATAAGACCCACCTCTCACCCCTCATTCTGACCCTAACTGATCCCCAAGGCAACCATTTTCACATCCTGGGGCATATGTGCCTGGACATTTTCCTGTGCATATATAGATACACATATATAAACACAATACACACATAATTTTTTCTCAAAAACATTATTATAGTGTACATATTTATCTTCAGCTTACTTTTTTTTACCTACATATGTTGTGGATAACTTTCAAAGTAGATAGAGATCTTCATTTTAATGACCACTTACACAGCATTTCCCCTTTTTGATAACTAAGATTTTGTGTGTGTGTGTGTGTTTTGCTAGTTAAGGTTAAAACGAACTTCTTATATAACCATGAATACTAGTTGTTGACTTCAAGCCCTGTTTTCACCTACTCTCTCCTGCTGCTCATTGTCTCAACCCTCTTGTAACAAGGAACAGGGAAGCAATCCAAGCAGCAAACTGCCACTATTTCTAGAAACTTTAGTAATCTACATGCCCACCAACCCACCCACCCCTGGGGAAAACACTCCTCAATTTAATTGGCCCTGGATTTGACCAAACTTCTGAGAGAAACAACAGATAGCATTTACCTCATGGACTCTCAGGGGCATGTTGGCCAAGTTTAACCCTTATGAAATTCTCCTCCTCCATATCTCATCTATGTCTACATCACAAAGCCTTCTCAGGGGCTAGCTGATCCACCTCTACCTCATTTACTACTTATTTGATTTGCATTGAGTTTTCTTATTATATTTCATTTTCTTATTGTACTTCATTTTTATGGGGTTAGGGCCTGTCAACAGCGCAAGCCCAGGCAGTGTGTGTATCATCAAACTCCACTCACATTTGCAGTTGGAAGCATATAAATGTTCTGCAATTCTTCCTGATTTGATTTGTTTTTTTTTTCACAAGGGCTTTGTCACTGACACGTGTTCTCCTAAATTCACTGCCTTAAGTTCTAGTTCTACCAAATAACAAGTCTTATAATTTCCAGCATCTAATTCAATAAATTTCCCCTCTCTAATCACTACTACTTACCCTAGTGCTACTGTTTCTACTTGAAAGGTTTGCTCAAAGTGGGATCACTAGAATGTCAGATCTATGCACTTTAGATTTTAGTAGGTTACTGTAAGGAGGACACAGAAAGCACAAAAATGATGAAAAAATTCTCAAGAGATTACTATATTTTAGTATAAAAATATATATATTTTTTGAGATATATATATATATTTTGAGACAGAGTCTTGCCCTGTTGCCCAGGCTGGAGTGCAGTGGCACGATCTCGGCTCACTGCAACCTCCACCTCCCAGGTTCAAGTGATTCTCATGCCTCAGCCTCCTGAGTAGCTGGGGTTACAGGTGCTTGCTCCACCACATCCAGCTAATTTTTGTATTTTTAGTAGAGATGGGGTTTCACCATGTTGGCCAGGCTGGTATCAAACTCCTGACCTCCAGTGATCTACCTGCCTCGGCCTCCCAAAGTGCTGGGATTACAAGTGTGAGCCACCGCGCCTGGCCTAGCATAAAATATTTTTAAATATTGCTATATTAAACTATCATAAACATCATAGAAGTAAAAGATAAATCAAAATGGATAAAATATTTAAAATTTTATCTGAAAGACTGATTCAGTTTTTACAAAGAGCTTTTGAATAAGAAAAAGAAGATAACCATTTAAATTAGAAAAACATAGATCAGAGTGAATAATTTATAAAATAAGAAATACAAATGGTGAATAAAAATTTTGAGAGTGCCAATGTCAAAATCAAAATTAAAAATAATTATATTGTTTTATTATCAATTATTTTCCTAAATGATAATACTCTGTTTTCTTGAGAGTAGTGAGAAATAGAATTTTCTGTACTGCTAGTGGGTGTGTGAGTATTTATGCTCAGGATAAAATAAATTGCAATGTGAGAAATCAACACCATTGCATTCATAAACTAAAAATTCTATACACTAAAGAACATAATAAAATACTTTTTAAAACTAAGTAGAAAAAATATTTCCACAAATTTGAAAAATAAAAGTCAGTTTATAAAAGAGTATATACAAAGAAGTACTATTAAAACTTTAATAGGGCAGGGTGCAGTGGTTCATGCCTGTAATCCCAGCACTTTGGGAGGCTGAGGCAGTGGATTGCCTGAGCCTGGGAGTTCGAGGCCAGCCTGGGCAACATGGTGAAACCCCACCATTACATAAAATACAAAAATTAGCCGGGCATGGTGGCATATATCTGTAGTCTCAGCTACTTGAGAGGCTGAGGTAGGAGGATCTCTTTAACCCTGGAGGTGGAGACAGTGAGCCCTTATCACACCACTGTACTCCAGCCTGGGTGACAGAGCAAGACTCTGACTCAAAAAACAAACAAAAAAAACCCTACAATACTTTAATAGGAAAAGTAGATAGGAGGCTAGTTTAAAAAAAAAACAACAAATATTATAAAACATATGAAATAATTGTGGACCTCACTATTGTTCTAGAAATGCAAATTAAAATAATATTATTGACCTACCATATTAGCAAAGATTTTAAAACTGGCTGCTACAAATGCTTCAGCTTTTTGGAAAAGCAGACTGGTAATGTTTATAAATTGCTTTTTATAAGCTTCTTTCTTTGGAAAGAAAATAGTAATTTCCTTTTCAGGAATCTAGACTGAAGAATCATTAGACATTTTAAGAAATGTATATTTAATGAACATGATTCAGCACACTAAAAAATTAGAAGCAATGAAAGTGTTTAATATTAGAAAACAGTTATTAAAATAGTATTTTCAAAGAATGTTTTATGAAATTGTAAAAGAAGTCATATAGGAATTTGTGGAAAAAAAAGTGTACAGTCTGGCTGGGAGCGGTACGTCACGCCTGTAATCCCAGCACTTTGGGAGACCAAGGCAGGCGGATCATGAGGTCAGGAGATCGAGATCATCCTGGCTAACACGGTGAAACCCCGTCTCTACTAAAAATACAAAAAATTAGCTGGGCGTGGTGGCACATGCCTGTAGTCCCAGCTACTCGGGAGGCTGAGGCAGGAGAAATGCTTGAACCCGGGAGGTGGAGGTTGCAGTGAGCCGAGATCGTGCCATTGCACTCCAGCCTGGGCAACAAGAGTGAAACTCAGTCTCAAAAAAAAAAAAAAAAGTGTACAATTGTGTATATGTATATATATGATTCAAATTGTCAAATATATATGGATATTGAAAGGTGGTGAAGTAACACTGCTGATCTCTGAGTTTTATTATATATATATATGTGTATATATATATGTGTATATATATGTGTATATATATATGTGTATATATATGTGTGTGTGTGTATATATATATATATATATATATATATTTATTTATTTATTTTTTTTTTTTTTCAGACAGGGTCTTGCTCTGTCACCCAGGCTGGAGAGTAGTGGCACAATTATTGTTCACTGCAGCTTCGATCCTCCTACCTCAGCCCTTTCCCTAGCTGGGACTATAGGCATGTGCTACTATACCTGGTTACTTTTTTTTTTTTGGTAGGGACAGGGTCTCCCCATGTTGCCCAGGCTGTTCTCAAACTACTGGGCTCAAGTGATTCTCTCGCCTTGGCCTCTCAAAGTGCTGGGATTACAGTTGTGAGCCACCATGCCCGGCCCTCTGAATTACACTCTATCTGCTTTGCATGTCACTCAGCTGTGCAAAGTTTTCATAGATGATATTATGATCTAATTCATTCGTATCTGGCACATAGTAGGTGTTGAAATAATTTTGGTTGAATAGACAATAAATTCACAACTTAATAGAGGAATTCCATTCTCAGCATTGACTGGATGGAAATAAAAAGCCAGAAAAGAAGTGAACGGCCCTGGGAAAAATGGCAACAATTAGCAGGGAAGCATACGAAGGGAAGTTGTGTTAATGCGAACTTTTTGTAAGATGTTTAATTTAGTAATAGGAAAAAACAAGAAACACGATTCTGTATAACATGCTACTGATAACTGGTTGACTGACACGCACTATTTTAGGAACTGCCGTATGAGGCTCTGCGGTACATGACTGGCGAATGCAATTACGGAGGCAGAGTGACCGATGACTGGGACCGGCGCACGCTGCGCAGCATTCTAAACAAATTCTTCAATCCCGAATTAGTTGAAAATTCAGACTATAAGTTCGACTCAAGTGGCATCTATTTTGTTCCTCCTTCTGGTGATGTAAGTATGCCCTTCAAAAAAACTAAAAGCAGTAAGACATGAAATTATTTTGGTAGTGATGATATTTTTTAAATGGTGATTTTGCTGCAGGCCTTGTTTTTTTGTTACCCTTGTCTGTGCTTTCTTCAGTCATATAGGGATAAAACAAAGCTCACGCTATAGGTGGAGTTAGGGGTTTCCTGTTCACTGTAATGTAAGAAGTATCAGAAACGTGTCTCACGCTTTTTCAGTGACCTGAAGTTCTGTCATCATAAACTCAGTCCTTTGGCTAAAAAGACATTGTCCCCAATTAAAATGAAAATACATAAGAGATGGTATTAGCAAAATATTATTAGCAGTAGTAGTTAATATTTATAATTATTTGGAAGTCAGTTGCAAGTAATTATCTCACTAGAGCATCAAATTAACATTGGTATTATTATTTTATCCCTTTTACAAATGAGAAAGCAGGTTCATTACAGTAGAATAATTTGCCCAAGGCCACACAGGTAAGAAGGTGGCAGCGAGTCACAGACCCACCTGCAGCACAAGACCAAGATTCCCTTCTGCTCTTCTCCAGTCCTGTCCACTGCCTTCTGATGATCACAGTGGATTTCTAGAGATTGCTAAGACAATCAAGTTGGTTCTCATGTTATTCCCAGAAGTCAAAGGGCATATATTGAAAGTTAAACACAAGCAACAGAAACACATACTGTAACCCCCCAACCCTAACCTCATCTTCCACTAGGATTAATGCTAGCCAAGGGCAGATGTTGGTATAGATAAAGGGAAAAATCACTCCCAAAGCCTAGGTCACTGTTGGGTACAGCAAGTCAACATGGGAGCTGGGGTAACAAGATCTCCAATGATGAATTGCCAAGTGAGAAAAAAGCAAGATGAAGTAAGGTGTTTGCAAAGTGACCCAAATCATAAAGCCATCCATGACCAAACCCCCTTTGCCATGTGTGTGTGTGGATGTTTGTATATGATTCTATGAGCATCAAGGAAGGTATGAAATTTTAATAGACGTCCATTTAAATAAAATATAAAATATGTGTGTATGCATAAAAAGAAGTATAATGTTAATGGTGATTATCAGAATAATAGAATTTTAAATAATTTTTACTTTTTTGAATTGGGTGAATTTTTTACAGTAAGAGTAAACAGAATAATCAGAGTAAATCAGAAAAAAAATATTTTTATTGTGATAAGAATAATCATCAGCAAAATATGACACAAAGATTTCTCTGTAGGTAATTTCTAAATGAAGTTACCAGGATTCCCCTCCCCCCCATTAAAAAACCCATTCCAATTGAAAGGTACATTTTCTTTTTCTCTGTAAATACATTCTTTTTTTTTCCTCTTTTCTTTTTTTTTGAGATGGAGTTTCACTCTTCTCGCCCAGGCTGGAGTGTAATGGTGCAATCTCAGCTCACCGCAACTTCTGTCTCCTGGGTTCAAGTGATTCTCCTGTCTCAGCCTCCTGAGTAGCTGGGATCACAGGTGTGTGCCACCACACCCGACTAATTTTGTATTTTTAGGAGAGACGGGGTTTCTCCATGTTGGTCAGGCTGGTCTCAAACTCCCGACCTCAGGTAATCCACCCGCCTCGGCCTCCCAAAGTGCTGGGATTACAGGCGTGAGCCACCGCGCCTAGCTGTTCATATTTTTTTTTAAACTTTGGCCCAGGCTGAAAGAAAGTGAAAGCACTCAATGTCCAGTGTCACAGGCCTATCCAGTCAATAACTTGAGTATTGAAAACTGCCTCTTTTCTGTGAAAAGTTCTAGAAAGTAATTGATTTCTAACCTCCTGACTTCTTGTTATTCATCTCTGCAGCACAAAAGCTACATCGAATACACAAAGACTCTGCCACTGACCCCAGCACCAGAAATCTTTGGGATGAATGCCAATGCAGATATCACTAAGGATCAGTCAGAAACTCAGCTGCTATTTGATAACATTCTTCTTACACAGGTGTGTGATCTGTATAGGACCTGGATTCTGAGGCCTGGGAAGGATGCTCCCCAGGCACGTGTGCCAGCACTGAACAGGCTTCCTTACACAATTCTGTTCAAGTGGAGAAACATTTAAAGGAAAAGACAAAAATACATACATAACTTAAATAAGGATTTGAACACTAAGTACCTGAACGTGTGTTTTTTTTTTTTTTTCATCTATCTTTTTTTGGGAACCCAGATATATTCTTTAAGTATCATTCTGCTTCTAGGAGTTTCATTTTGCCTTTCTTGCCCTACCTAAATACATCATACATTGTGTCCCTTTTAAATTTCTTTAAAGAGGAAGAAGAATTGCAAAGATACTTGGGAAGCAGTTTGATGAGAGAATTCATCTAAAATTTTACCTATTTTATTTTCCAGTCCCCTAGTATTTCAACAGCTGTTCCAGAACATTTAAACTGATTTACATGGACACAGTTTCATTCACACTCATATTTTTTCAGATTTATATTAGTATAACATTTAAAATATAATTGCAATAGTAAGTACAAAATGAATTTAAAAGTATAGGAGAAGAATTTGTAGATGCAGCTCTCCTGGAGAGTGCATAAGCGCACTGGGGTGTGGGAAAGCAATCTGCAAAGACACCAGAATTTAGCTGCCGTGAGCACAGGTCAGTACATTTTAATGAAGAACATCTGCTAATCTTGCTTGTCTATTAAGAGATAGATTGGGTTTATCACAATTCAGAGGTAAAGAGACCAGAACTACAGAGCTTGGAGAGCAAGTTAATGATGACAAGACTTTGTATTTAACTAATTTATCTTGGAAAAAATAAAAGAGGAAGCTATCTTGTATTGTTATTCCTTTAGAAGATATGCTCAGTTGTTAATTTGATTTGTTTTTGAAAGGAAATTAGTCCAAATGGCAAGAGTTCCCATAATGATTCAATAAAATTTTGATGAATTAAGGAAGAATAATCAGTCAAGCAAATTATCCTATTAACTGAATTGTAACTGATCTTTTTGTGGCATCTCAGAGTAAAAATGGCAACAGTTAATACTTTTGTATAGTGCTTACTCTGTACTAGTGCTGTTCCAAGTGCTATTATGTATAACAATGCAATGCTAATGACAGTCCCTCGAAGTAGAGTCTAACTATTACTATTCCCATTTTACAGTGAGAAAAGTGAGGCACAGAAAGATTAAGCAGTTTGCCCAAAGTCAGCTAGTACGATTTCAAATCAGGACTCAAAACCAAGCGGTCTGGCTCCTACCAGTTTGGCTCCAGAATCTTGTGTTCTAAACCACTGTGCTATATTCTCTTTCCAGATTCTGAAAGGCAGATAGCCAGAGATTCTTAAAAAGCTAAAAATTAGAAGGATAATGTGGACTATTCATTAGTAATAGCATAATGGAATAATGGAAGAGTCCATGGAACTCCTATCTCTGGTCTACTCTACTATGACATTTTCTAATAAGGGAAAAGGAACAAAGACTATTTTTACATCCATTTTAGATATTGATAGCACTAAAATCAGTTATTGCCTGGGCATAAAAGTATATGTGCAAACATGAATGAGTAGCTCTTTAGGAGCATTAGATTGCATGTAATACACAACAGTCTGACAACAGGACATTAACAGTGTCTTTTGGCTTTACTTAAACTTGACGGGGTGTGCCACATTACAGAATACGTAAAACAGTGGGGTCATTCCAACAGAAAATGACTCTGAACCAGACAAATAAGTTTAAATACACAAGGGGTATCTTTTCAGTAAATAATTAAACAGCCTCTTTCAATCCTCAAACTCAGGTTGGCGAATACAATTATAGTTATGGGTGAGCAGTAGTTCAGTGATTCTAGATTGGGTTTATCACAATTCAGAGGTAAAGAGACCAGAACTGCAGAGCTTGGAGAGCAAGTTAATGATGACAAGACTTTTTGTATTTAACTAATTTATCTTGGAAAAAATAAAAGAGGAAGCTATCAGAGCTAAGAAGTTTGCTTGTGCAGAGCTCCTTTGCTTGTGGTTAACTGCCACACACTATTTAGAATAGAAAAATTGTTTCAACTTAGAATATTATAAAACTAGATAATAGTCTAGGATCTCTGAAAAGGTTAAACTTTCTGATGTCTCTGAAAATGAATTCCACTTATCTTTAAGAGGAAAATAACCCTTAGAAGATTCCAGATGCTATTTGTGATAACTCTAAAGAAAGATAGTAAAGAAGAAAAAGCTAAGATAAATAATTATAAATAAATAGGACCCAATTGCTCTTAATTATCAGTATCAGTTGGATATTACTTTCAAAAACCTATCACCGTAATCATGTGATCTTTGTGTGTGAGAAATAGGTAAGGGGAATGTTTGCGTTATTAAATTTTTTTTTTTTTACGTTTTTTGAAGAACCATAGACCTGGATTTGTTTTTTTTTTTTGCAGAGGCACAGCTCTTGTTAGAATATGGGAATATTTTAATGAGTTTTTGCTGCCTTTTATGCACACCAAAATACTACTGGAAATCAGCATAGATTCTTTAAATATAATGGAATTAGATATTTCATTAGTTTTAGCCAAATACTTTTCGTTCTCTATGATTTGTTTTTTATATTTTGTTGTAAACCCGGTACTATGGAATCATAATAAAGGATTATTATACGAGCATATCTCTTTTTTAATAGCCCATAATTAAAATGTACCAACATTTAATTATTTTATTGTGTAACTGTATAGGATATTATGGTGGTATGTGGTAAGTAGTGTTAAAATCACAGTAGAGGCCGGGCACGGTGGCTCATGCCTATAATCCCAGCACTTTGGGAGGCCGAGGCAGGCGGATCACCTGAGGCCAGGAGTTTGAGACCAGCCTGGCCAACATGGTGAAACACTGTCTCTACTAAAAATACAAAAATTAGCCAGGCGTGGTAGCAGTCCCCTATAATCCCAGCTATTTGGGAGACCGAGGCAGGAGAAGTGCTTGAACCCGGGAGGCAGAGGTTGCAGCGAACGGAAATCGTGCCACGGCACTCCAGCCTGGGCAACAGAGTGAGACTACATCTCAAAAAAAAAAAAAAAAAGTCACAGTAGAAACTTAGGTAAAAATAATTAATATTAAAAAACAATAAAAAAGTTAATATTTTCAGAATCAATTTTGAGCATGTTAATATTTATAGTACAGAAACCAGGAAACAAAATCTAAAAGAAGACTAAACACAGTTTCCTTTGACTGGTAAAACATGAGATGTATTTATTTATGTTCTAATAGTACTTGTTTTCTTTCAACACATACCCCATATTCATTTGTTCTGAGGATTTAATTTTTTTTTCAGAAAATATAGATTCATTTACACAATGCCACCATAAATATAAAAAACAAAAATGGAATTGAAATTCTCCTTCCTTGCTTCCAACGTGAATCACTAAAGTCTGTCTTTCGTCCATAACTCTTCCAGCTGCTTAGAGGAGATGAGCTTATTTTCTTTCTCTCCTGGTTCAAGGAGAAAACTATATCTCTGCTTTTGGCAACCAGTAGACACCAGAGTTATTGGCAAATATATTTTGTGGCATGCTTTCTCAAAGCAAGATGAGATTTCCCCCATCTGGGTTTTAATGCCCGCCATCGCTTGGCCACTCCACCAGTGCAATGCTTTTTCTTCCACTATCTGCAGCATCTGCAACTCCCCCTGTACCCTGGCAGCCAAGCATACAGCTTATTTGCTTTCTCCAGATCCTCTTTTGCCTCTGAACACATTACATGCCCTTATTCCTCCTCTCTAACAATAGTTTTCCCTTGAAAATCCATCCTCCTGCCTGTTACCATCACTTTAATAAATCTTGTGTGGAGATGGATCATGGATAAAATAGAGAGCAATGTTCTTTCTTATAAAGATTTACCTTAGGATTTTTCCTATTCAGCTATTGTTAGACCTTTATGAGGATTTTTGAGTTATAGTTTGGATTCTTCATAGTCTCGTTCAGCAGGTGCTGGTGCAAAATCATCAGATGAAGTAGTGAATGAGGTCGCTAGTGACATCTTGGGCAAACTTCCAAACAACTTCGACATCGAGGCTGCCATGAGGAGGTACCCAACAACTTATACTCAGAGCATGAACACTGTACTTGTCCAAGAGATGGGACGGTTCAATAAGTTACTGAAGACCATAAGAGATTCGTGCGTAAATATTCAAAAAGCAATCAAGGTAAGGTGAAAAACACCAAAAAAAACCCCCATTAAATTATATATAGCATTCATTTATTTAGCAAATACTTGTTTAGCACAAATACTGTATAAGCACTGTTTTGGGTTCTGGGGATAAATAAGATTAGAAAATAATTCTTGCCCTTGAGGAGCTTATAGAATTCTGGGAGTGAGAGTTAATAAACAGGGAAATAAGTATAGAGGATGTTAGATAGGGATAGGACCCTGGATTGGATATATGCTAAGGAGACACAGTGTGGTAAGGAATGAGCCCTTGCCTTCATAAAGCACATTTTTTCATTTATTATTATTATTTTTTTAGAGATGGGGTCTCACTCTGTCACCCAGACTGGAGTATAGTCATGTGATTACCGCTCACTGCTGCCATGAACCCCTGGGCTCAAGGGATTCCTTTGCCTAACCTTCCTGAGTAGCTTAGATTAGAGGTGTGAGCCACCAAGCCTGGCTATTTTATTCTATTTTATTTTATTTTATTTTTATTTTTTTAGAGATGGGGTCTCGCCATCCTGCTCAGGCTGGTTTTGAACTGGGCTCAAGTGATACTCCCGCCTTGGCCTCCCAAAGTGCAGGGACTATAGGTGTGAGCCACCAACTCCTGGCCCAGGCTCACATTTTAGTGAGGGAGGCAAACTGAGAAATAAACTGGCCAAGTGTGGTGGCTCATGCCTGTAATCCTAGCACTTTGGGAGGCCAAGGTGGGAGGACTGCTTGAGTTTGAGAACTTCCTTGGCAACACAGCAAGACCTTGTCTCTTCTGAAAAAAAAAAAAAAAATGCTGGGCATTGTGGTGTATGCTACTCAGGAGGCTGAGACAGGAGGATCACTGGAGACTGGGAGGTTAAGGCTGCAGTAAGCTACGATCCTACCCAGCCCAGGCAACAGAGTGAGACCCTGTGTCAAACTAAAAATAAACAAATACATACAAATTTTGGTAAGTGATAAGTTTTATGGAGAAAAATTAAACAAGATTAGGGAGTAGAGAATTATGGGTGAGAAGCTCTCTTAGGTTGGGTCAGGTCCCTCTGAGGAATGACTCTTGGAGAGAGACCTAAATTACGTTGAGGGGCAATCCATGGAACGTTTCAGGGAAGAGTATTTCAGGCAGAGGGTATAACACAAGTGTAAAGCCAAGAGAAAACAAGCTGGGCCTGGTCCAGGAACACAAGTAGAAAGGCTGATTGGCTAGAGTGGAGTGAGCATGAGACAGACCCTAATACTAGAGAGAAGACGCCAGAGGCTGGATCGTGATGGTGTTAGCCATAGTTAGGGTCTTAAATTTTGTTTTATTTGATTTTAAAGTATAAATATAAAGAGAAGGCTTCAGAGGGTTTTAAGCACTGAAGTGAAATGACCCATTCTACATTTTTAAAAGTTTACTCTAACCACTGCTGAAAGGATTATGGGGAAACAGCAGTACAGACAGAGACCAATGATATGATTGAGAAATCCAGCTGAACTGGTCTCTTGTTCAGCAACTCCCTCTGCATTGGAGGCAGAGGGAGGTGGCTGCTTATGAGTTATTACTGAAAGAGGAGTCTACTATGCTGGCTGAAGATTGATGTGTGTGTGAGCAAGAGAGTAGTTAATGATAACTCCTAAATGTTTGGCCTAAGCAAGTGGAAAGTCTGGGCAAGGAACAGATTTGATGTAGAAAATCAAGAATTATATTTTGGTCATATTAATTTTGAAATGCCTGGTAGACTCAATGGGGAGGTCGAGTTGTTAGATACCTCCTTTAGAGTTCAAGAGGGAAGTCAAGGCTGGTGATAAATTTCAGAGTCTGTATCACGTTGATTATATTTGAAAATAAAATGTATAAATTATTTCAAATATTTTGGTAGTACTGATGAGCATTTTTCGGTGGCAAGCAGGTCTATGCAAACCTATCCACAAAGGCTGAAAAACTGAGAGGCCAAAGAAAGAAGCTGGACAAATCCAGTTTCTCAGAAAGGAACATTTAATAGTGACTTACGAACAGAAGTCATAATGTCCAGGCAGCCGTGAGAGGAGATAGTGGGTCCTAACACCTTTACCCCCTAGACCCAGGGCTGATGCATCATAGGGAAGGAATGTGTAGGACAATTGAAGACGATCCCTCAGGGAAAGGCAATAATGCTATGTGAATCTGCCCAATGGCAGGGTTTAATGTCAAGGTTGTTTTGACCTAAGGGCAGGATTTATGGTAACAGTGGATAAAGTAGAAATCTTAAAGGCATTCTCAGCAGAGGGGTTAATGAGATGCCAACATGGCAGACTGGCATCCAAGATGGAGTTGCTGGCCTAGTGCAGTGGCTCACACATGTAATACGAGAACTTTAGGAGGCTGAGTTGGGAGGATTGTTTGAGCCCAGGAATTCGAGACCACCTTGACAACAGTAAGACCCCATCACTAAAAAGAAATTACAAGATGGAGTTGCTTTATTCTCCGCAAGCATAGATTACTTTGAAGCATCAATTTCTTTCACCCAACTCATATGAACTACTTATAATGTCCTTTCTCATGCCATTCTTTCATCATTCTCTTCATATTTCACTAATTTGAGGAAGAAAATATTTCAAATTTGAAAAACCTAACTTGACATGATATCTGTGACCAATGTAGCAATGTAAGACCTCATATTAAACTCATTTCTTTTTCCAATATCTCAGTGAAAGACACAATCTAACTGGGACAATTTTATATCACATTCTCTGGTATAATGCTAAAACCAGATGTATTTTTAATGGCAATATCCAATACATAAGACAAAACCTATTTCTTACAGTTACACAAAAGGTAAATTATGACAATAAATTTAGCAAACGAACATGTTGAACCTATATATTTGTAAAAGATCAAAGCTCTACTAAAACTTAAAAGTTCAATATTGTAAAAATGTCAAAGAATTGCAATTATAGAAGGACTCAATTTTAATTTACCCAGGATTCCAGCAAATATTTAAATACTTAGCAGTATTCATTGTTGGCAGGTTAGTCATCAGGCATTCTCATATGTGTTATTGGAAATGTAAATTGTTGAACCTCTTTGAAGTACAACTTGGTAATACCAGTAAAAATGTTAAATCTTCTTTATCCTAAATATATATATATAGATACATGCACACGTATGCAAAGCTATAAGCACAGGAATGGGCAGCACTGCATTGTTTCAATAAGTGATTAATCTAAATATTATCCAGTGGTTATGATAATATACACGATGAAATGCCCATCAATTAAGAGTGAGATAGTTTTATAGTTGCTGATGTGGAAAGATGCCAAGACATACTGATAAATGAAAAAAGGTGTATAATTTTATGTATTGTTTGACTCAATTTGTGATTTCTTAAAAATATGCATATTCTCTGTAAAATTATATTTTCCTAAATTTGCCATATTTGCCTTATCATTTGCCCTCTGCTTTTCTCTATATATATCTTAAAGATATATATTTATAATATATATATAAAAGATATATATATTAAAGATATAAATATATATACCCATATATAAGTGTTTTCTGAATTATTTGAGAATAATGCTTGCTTATACCCCTTTATCTCTTAATACTTTTAAGGTGTACTTTCCAAAAACAAGAATATTCTTTTACAATATCACAATACAGTTATCAAATTTAAGAATAAAAACCTAAATGTAATATTTTTATCTAATCAGCAATCAAATACTTCAATTTTTTCAATCATTCCAGTTCTGTCTTTTCTAGCAAAATCTATTCTGACACAGATTTCAGACCAGGATCAAATATTTCATTCCGTTGCCATGTTTCTTTATCTTCTTTATTCCAAGACAGTTTCTTAGCCTTTCTTTATCTTTGATAATATTGACATTTTTTAAGAATACAGAGCAATCATTTTATAAAATGTCCTGTGTTATTTTTTAAGTGAAATAAAAAACTAGTTGGCAGTTTTTAAAGAGTGAAACAATAAACAAAAGAAATTACACATTATAATTATGGGATAAAGCTGAAGTTACACCCAAGAAAATTTATAGTCTTAACTTTATTTTTAATTTAATTATTAAACAAGAAAGATTGAAAAGAAGTGAATTATTTGGCTTAAGAGACAAGAAAAAGGATATCCTGTAAGTTCAGTACTAGAATAAATAAATTTTAAATGCTAAAACTGAACAAAAAAAAGGAGGAGGAAATTTTGAGGAGGAGGAGTAAAGGTATAGAAGTGTCGAACAACTCCATTTACAAATTGAGCTAACTGGTGTATATGGAACACTGATTCCCACAAGAGTATAATATACTTTTCTTTTCAAATTAACATGGAACATTTACAAAGAATGACTATATAAAAACTATAAAACAAGTCTCAATAAATTAAAAGGTCTCAGATCATCAGACTATATTCTCTGATCAGAGAGGAATTAAGCTAGTAATGAATAACAAAAGCACAATGAGAAATACCCATATATTTGGAAATTTAGTAAAACACTTCTTAATAACTCACAGCTTAAAAAATTTAAATGAAAATTTAATAATAATTTCTGTTAAATTAGAGTGAACAGATATCAACATGCCAAAAATTGGAGAATGCAGCTTCAAATATATGTTAGAAAAACAAAAAGCATAATAAAATAAAGACAAATTAATGAAATAGAAAACAAACATAATAGACTCAACAAAGCCAAATAGTCCTTATTTTAAGACTAACAGAAGTGACAAAGCAAAAAAAGAGAAGTAACCAGAAACTAATATCAACAATGGAAATGAAGTAATCAAAATAGACACTATAGTCTAAGAGATCTGAAGATGACATCATGAAAACATTATGCCAATACATTTTACTTATTTATTTCTTATTTTTGTGGTTATATAGTAGATGTATATATTTGTGGGATACATGAGATATTCTCATACAGGCATACAATGAATAATAATTACATCAGGGTAAATGGGGTATCGATCACCTCAAACATGGATCCTTTGTGTTACAAACAATGAATTATTCTCTTTTAGTTATTTTTAAATGTGCAATTAAATTATTGACTGTAGTCACTCTGTTGTGCCATCAAATACTAGATCTCCTTCATTCTTTCATTTTTTAAAATATTCATTAACCATCCCTACTATTAACCCTACCTACCACTACTCTACCCAACATCTGGTAGCCATCATTCTACTCTCTAACTCCACAAGTTCAATTGTTTTAATATTTAGCTTCCATGGCCTGTGCATGGTAGCTCACGCCTGTAATCCCAGCACTTTGGGAACCGGAGGCCAGTGGATCACCTGAGGTCAGGAGTTTGAGACCAGCCTGGCCAACAGGGCGAAACCCGTCTCTACTAAAAATATAAAAATTGGCATGGTGGGAGATGCCTGTAATCCCAGCTATTTGGAAGGCTGAGGCAGGCGGATCGCTTGAACCAGGGAGGCGGAGGTTGCAGTGAGCCAAGATTGTGCCACTGCCCTCCAGCCTGGGTGACAGAGCAAGACTCTGTCTCAAAAAAAAAAAAAAAAAAAAAAAATTAGCTCCCACAAATTAAACGAGAACATGCAAAGTTTGTCCTTTAGTGCCTGGCTTTTTTCGCTTAACATAATGATCTCAGGTTCCATCCATTTTGTTGCAAATGACAGGATCTCATTCTTTTTATGACTGAATAATACACTGTTGTGTATAAGTACCACGTTTTCTTCATCTGTTCCTTTGTTGATGGACACAGGTTGCTTTCATATCTTGGCTTTTGTGAGTAGTGCGGCAATAAACATGGGAGTGCAGATATATCTTCAATATACTGATTTCCTTTCTTTGGGTATATATAGCAGTAGGATTGCTGGATCATATGGTAGCTCTCGTTTTAGTTTTTTAAGGAATCTCCAAACTGTTCTCCACAGTGGTTGTACTAATTTACATTCTCACCAACAGTGTACAAGCGTTCCCTTTTCTCCACATTCTCACCTGCATTTGTTACTGTCTGTCTTTTGGATATAAGCCATTTTAACTAGGGCGAGATGATATCTTATTGTAGTTTTGATTTGGGTTTCTCTGATGATCAGTGACATTGAGCACCTTTCTGTATGCCTTTTTGCCATTTGTATGTCTTCTTTTGAGAAATGTCTATTCAGATCTTTTGCCCATTTTAAAATTGGATTATTAGAGTTTTTCCTACAGAGTTGTTTGACCATCTTATATATTCTGGTTCTTAATCTCTCATCAGATAGGTAGTTTGCAAATATTTTCTCCCATTCTCTGTGTTCTCTGTTCATTTTATTGATTGCTTCTTTTGCTATGGACAAGCTTTTTAATTGGTGTGATCCCATTTGTCTACTTTTGCTTTGTTTGTCTGTGCCTGTGGAGTATTACTCAAGGAATCTTTGCCCAATCCAAGGTCCTGGAGAGCTTCTTCAATGTTTCCTCACAGTAGATTCATAGTTTGAGGTCTTAGATTTAAGCCTTTAATCCATTTTAACTTTTTTAATATGGCAAGATGGGGGTCTGGTTTCACTTTTCTGCATATGAATATCCAGATTTCCCAGCACCATTTATTGAAGAGACTGTCAACTAAAGTATGTTCTTGGCAACTTTGTCAAAAATGAGTTCACTGTAGATGTATGGATTTATCTATAGGTTCTCTCTCCTGTTCTATTGGGCTGTGTGTCTGTTTTTATGCCAGTACCATGCTGTTTTGTTGATTATAGCTCTGTAGTATAATTTGAAATCAGGTAATGTGATTCCTCCAGTTTTAATCATTTTGCTCAGGATAGCTTTGGCTATTCTGGGTCTTATGTGGTTCCATATAAGTTTTAGCGTTTTTTTTTTTCTATTTCTATAAAGAATGTCATAGGTATTTTGATGGGGGTTGCACTGAATCTATAGACTGCTTTTGGTAGGATGGACATTTTAACAATATTGATTCTTCCAATCCATTGACATGGAATATCTTTCCATTTTACTGTGTCTTCTTCAATTTCTTTCACCAGTGTTTTATAGTTTTTATCATAGAGGTCTTTTTACTTCTTTGGTTAAGTCCTAGGTATTTTATCTTTTTGTAGCTATTGTAAATGGGATTCTTGATTTCTTGATTTCCTTTTCAGATTGTTCACTCTTGGCATATAGAGATGCTACTAATTTTTGTACGTTGATTTTATATCCTGTAACTTTACTGAATTTATCAATTCCAACAGTATTTTTGGTGGAGTCTTTAGGTTTTTCCAAATATAAGATCATATCAACTGCACACAAGGATAAGTTAATTTCTTCCTTTCTAATTTGGATGTGCTTTATTTCTTTCTCTTGTCTGATTGCTCCAACTAGGACTTCCAGTACTTTGTTGATAACAGTTGTGAAAGTGGACATCCTTGTTATTTTCCACATCTAAGAGGAAAGACTATCAGCTTTTCTCCATGCAGTATGATACTAGCTGTGGGTCTGTCATATATGGCTTTTATTAAGTTGATGTATGTTCCTTCTATACCCAGTTTTTAAAGTTTTTTTTTTAATCATTAAGGGATGTTGAATTTTATCAAATGCTTTTTCAGTATCAATTGAAATTATTATACAGTTTTTGTCCTTCATTCTGTTGATATGATGTATCACACTGACTAATTTGTGTATGTTGAATCATTCTTGCATTCTTGGGATAAATCCCACTTGATCATGATGAATGTATTGTTGAATTCAGTTTGCTAGTATTTTGTTCAAGATTTTTGCATCAGGGATGCAAAAATCAGGGATATTGGCTTGTAGTTTTTTTTCTCTGTAGTTTTCTTTGTTTGATATGTCTTTGTCTGGTTTTGGTAAAAGTAATACAGGCCTCATGGAATAAGTTTGTAATTATTCCCTCCACCTCTCTTTTTCAGAATAGCTTAGTAGGATTGGTATTCTTCTTTAAATGTTTGGTAGAATTCAGTACTGAATTCTAAGCTATCAGGTCCTGGGCTTTTCTTTGCTGGGAGACCCTTTATTATGGTTTTGATCTTATTACTTGATATTGGTCTGTTTAGTTTTTGGATATCCTCATGGTCCAATCCCGGTAGGTTGTATGTTTCTAGGAATTTCTCCATTTCTTCTAGGTTTTCCAGTTTATTGGTATAATAAATTGCTAATAGTAGCCACTAATGATCCTTTGAATTTATGTGCCATCTATTGTAATGTTTCTTTTTTCATCTCTGATTTTATTTATTTGGGTCTTCTCTCTTTTATTTTCTTAGTTTGGCTGAAGGTTTGTTGATTTTGTTTATCTTTTCATAAAATCAACTTTTCATTTTGTTGATTATGTACTTTCTTCATTTAATTTTTCCTGCTCTGATTTTTATTATTTCTTTTCTTATATTAATTTTGGGTTTGGTTTGCTCTTGCTTTGCTAGTTCTTTAAGATATATCATTAGGTAGTTTATTTGAAGTTTTTCTGCTTTTTTGATGTAGGCACTTAAACTACAAACATAGTTTAGAAACACTTAAACTATAAACATCCACCTTACTACTGTTTTCACTGTATCCTGTAGGATTTTGCATGTTGCATTTCCATTATCATGTGTTTCAAGAAAATTTTGAATTTCCTTTTTAGTTTCTTCATTGATTCACTGGTCTTCAGGAGCATATTGTTTAATTTCCATGTATTTGTATAGTTTCCAAAATTCCTCTTGTTATTGATTTCTTGTTTTATTCCATGTAGTCAGAGAAGATACTTGATATTATTTCATTTTTTTGGATATTTTGAAACTTTTTTTGTGGCCTAACATGTGAACGATCCACGTGCTGAGTTAACCATGTATTCTGCAGCCACTGGATGAGACGTTCTGTAAGTATCTATTAGGACCATTTGGTCTGCGGTGCAGTTTAAGTCTGATGTTTCTTTGTTGATTTTCTGTCTGGATGGTCTGTCTGATGCTGAAAGTAGGGTGTTGAAGTCTCCAGCTACTATTTTTATTGGTGTCTGTGTCTCTCTTTGGCTGTAATAGTTGCTTTATATATCTTGGTTTTCCAGTGTTGGGTGCATATGTATTTAAAATTGTTATATCCTCTTGCTGAATTGACCACTTTATCATTATATAATGGCCTTCTTGGTCTCTTTTTGTAGTTTTTGTTTTGAAATCTATTTTGTCTGATATAAGTATAGCTACTCCTGCTCTTTTATGGTTTGTATTGGCATGGAATATCTTTATCCTTTTATTTTCAGTCTATATGTATCTTTATAGGTGAAGTGTGTTTCTTCTGGGCAACAGATCATTGAGTCTTGTTTTTTAAAAAAATTCATTCAGCCACTGTATGTGTTTTGATTGAAAAGTTTAGTCCATTTACATTCAACATTATTATTGATAAGTAAGTACTTACTCCCGCCATTTTGTTATTTTCTGGTTTTCTCCTCCTTTCCTTCCTCTCCTCTTAATGAAGGTGATTTTTCTCTGGTAGTATGTTTTAACTTCTTGCTTTTTACTTTTTGTGTATTTATTATATGTTTTTTGATTTGAGGTTACCATGAGGCTTGCAAATAATATCTTGTAACCCATTATTTTAAACTGATGACAATTTAAAACCGATTGCATAAACAAAGAAACAAGCAAAGAGAAACCTAATAAAAACTCTACACTTTACCTTCATCCCTCCTGCTTTTTAACTTTTTGTTTTTCCTATTTATATCCTATTATACTGTCTCTGTCTTGAAAAGTTGTTGTAGTTATTATTTTTTATTTGTTCATCTTTTAGTCTTTCTCCTCAAGATATGAGTAGTATACACAACACACTTATAGTGTTATAATATTCTGTTTTTCTGTGAACTTAGTATTACCCTGAGTTTTATACCTTCAGATAATTTCTTATTGCTCATTTACATCCTTTTCTTTCAGGTTGTAGAATACCCTTTAGTATTTCTTATAGAACAAGTCTGGTGTGGATGAAATCCCTCAGCTTTTGTTGTTTGGGAAAGTCTCTTTATTTCTCCTTTATATTTGAAGGATATTTTCACCAGATATACTATTCTAGGGTAAAAGTTTTGTTCCTTCAGCACTTTAAATATGCCATGCCACTTTCTCATGGCCTGTAAGGTTTCCAATGAAAAGTCTGCTGCCAGACATATTGGAACTCCATTGTGTGTTGTTTCTTTTATCTTACTGTTTTTAGGATCCTTTCTTTATTTTACTACCTTTGGGAGTTTGATTGTTAAATGCCTTGAGTCTTTTTTGGCTTAAATCTGCTTGGTGTTCTATAACCTTCTTGTACTTGAATATTGATATCATTCTCTAGGTTTAGGAAGTCCTTTGTTACTACTGCTTGAATAAACTTTCTTCCCATATATATCTCTCTCTACCTCTTCTTTAAGGCCAATAAGTGTTAGATTTGCCCTTTTAAGGCTATTTTCTAGATCTTGTAGGTGTGCTTTCTTGTTTTTTCTTTTATCTCATCTTACTGTGTATTTTCAAATAGCCTGTCTTCTAGCTAACTAGTTTCTTCTGCTTGATTAGTTCTGCTGTTAAGAGACTCTGATGCATTATTCAGCATATTAATTGCATTTTTTAGCTCCAGAATTTCTGCTTGATTCTTTTAAAAAAATCTCAATCTCTTTGTTGAATTTATCTCATAGGATTCTGGATTCCTTCTCGGTGTTATTTGGAATCTTTTTTTGCATTTCCTCAAAACACTTATTTGAATTCTCTGTCTGCAAGGTCACATATCTGTATCTCCAGGATTAGTCACTGGTGCCTTAGTTTATTTGGTAAGGTCATGTTTTATGAATGGTCTTATTTTTTATTTTATTTTTTGCTACCCAGACACTATTCAGTATCCTAGATGGTCTTGATGCTTGTGGATGTTTGTCAGTATGTGGGCACTGATAAGTTTTTACTGTAGTCTTTGCAGTCTGGGCTTGTTTGTACCCATGCTTCTTGGGAAGGCTTTCCAGATATTTGAAGGGACTTGGATGTTGTGATCTAAGTTTTTGGTCACTGCAGCTGTATCTGCTTTAGGGGGCACTTAGAAGCCCAGTAACACTGTAGCTCTTTCAGACTCATAGAGATACTGCCTTGGTGGTCTTGGATAAGGTTCAGAAGACTTCTCTAAATTACAAGGGAAAGAGTCTTGTTCTCTTCCCTTTGTTTCTCATAAACACATGGACTCTCTCTCTCTCTGCTGAGCTGCTTGAAGCTGGAGGAGGGGTGACAAAAACACCCATATGGCCACCAACATTGAGACTGTGCTGGGTCAGACCTGAAACCAGCACAGCACTGGGTCTCATCCAAGGCCTGTTGTACCCACTCCCTGGCTACTGTCTATGTTTGCTCAAGGCCCTGGGGCTCTACAGTCAGCAGGTGGCAAAGCCAACCAGGCTTATGTCCTTCCCTTCACAGCAGTCAGTTTCCCTGGGCCCTGGATGAGTCCAGAGATGCTGCCTGGGAGTCAGAGCCTACAGCCTGAAACCTTAAGAATTCACCTGGTGCTCTGTTCTACTGCTGCTGAGCTGGCACCCAAACTACAAGACAAAGCTATTCTCAAACACAGTTGTGTTATCTTCTTTCCCCTTTCCACAGGCAGAGGAGCCTCTCCCTGTAGCTGCCATCATCACAGGTTCACAGGGAGTACTGCCGGGCTACTGCTGATCTTACTCAAGGCCCAAGGGGTCTTTAGCCACCTTGTGGTGAATGTTGCCAAAGTTAGTCTGTGATTTAATAGCTAGCAAGTAGCCAAGTATTGATTAAGAAGATTTTTCTATTAAAATTTGGTTAGATCAGGTGCAGTGGATCACACCTATAATCCCAGCACTTTGGGAGGCTGAGACAGGAGGATTGCTTGAGGCCAGGAGTTGGGAGAGCAGCATGGTCAACATAGTGAGATACCATCTCTACAATTTTTTTTAAGGGTCTCACTTTGTCAACCAGGCTGGAGTGCAGCGGCACAATCTTGGCTCACTGCAGCCTCAACCTCCCAGGTTCAAGTAATCCTCTTGCCTCAGCCCCCCAAGCAGCTGGGACTAAAGACCTGCACCACCAACACCCAGCTAATTTTTTTATTTTTTGTAGAGACGGGGTTTCACCATGTTGCCCAGGCTAGTCTTGAACTCCTTTCCAGAAATGCCATCCAGGAGCCAAGGCCTGGAATTGGGGACCCTAGGAGACCTCTTGGTGCATACCCCACTGTAGCAGTCAAGCTGGTACCTAAGCTGCAAGTCAAAGCCCCCTTTACTCTTCCCTGTGCTTTCCTCAAAAAGGAATCTCTCCTGGTAGCCACCAAGGTGGAAACGTGCAGGGTCACACCTGAAGCCTGCATGGCACTGAGTCTCACTCAAGGCCCATGGTGTGTACTACCTGGCTACTGCTGCTTATTATTCAGGGCCAAGAGCTCCTTAGTCAGCAGGTGATGAATCCCACCAGGAGTGGGCACTTCCCTTCAAGAGTGCAGGTTCCTTTATGACCAAATATGTGTCTAGAAATATTGTCCAGGAGCCAGGGCTTAGAATGTGGACCCCAGGACTGTTCCCGGTGCCCCATCCTACTGTGGCTGAACTGGCCCCCAAGTTGCAAGACAAAGTCCTCTTTACTCTTCCCTCTCCTCTCCTCAAGCAGTAAGGAAGTAGTCTCTCCTGGAGCTGCAAGCTATGCTGCCTGGGATTGGGGGAGGGGTGGTGCAAGCACTCTATTAACCACCCTGGCAGGTGTCTCACTAGATGGCATGCCCCCCGCAAGCCACTAGCTCCAAGTCTAGCACAGGACTAGGCCTTGCCTAGGAATTGTCGTTCCTGTGGCCTAGACTGCCTTTCAAATTTATTTAGAACCCCAGAGCACTTTAGCTGGTGGTGGCAAGGCTTGCTGAAACTCCTGTTCCAACTGCTGGGATGTGTGCTTCCCCTGTAGTTAGGGTTGGTCTAAATGCTTCTTTCACAGGCATCAGCTGAGCTCTTCCTGGTGTTGCTGTCTTCTGTGACAGGAAAGCACTGAGTTCCAGTACAGTCTCAATCATTGTGCTCTCCCTCCTACAAGCGACAGATTCTCAGTGCCACACTGCCACTGCCGGGTGATGGAGGAGGGTTGGCATCAGCAATTCAAGACTGTCTTTCCTGCCCTCTTCAGTGCCTCTTTCAGTGATTAAAGTTAAAACTGGGTACTGTGGTCATTCACCTGATTTTTGGTTCTTATGAAGTTGCTTTTTTGTGTAGATAGTTGTTAAATTTGGTGTTCCTGCAGGGAGGACGATTTGTGGAGGCTTCTATTGGCCATCTTGCTCTGCCTCCCTTCTCAAACCTATGCCAATACATTTAAAATGTAAATACATTTTAAAATGTAAATGAAATAGACAAATTCTTGGGAAAACATATGTTACCAAACAGATACAAGAAGAAACAAAAAATCAGAATAATCTTTTTTGTGTTTAGAAGTTGAATGCATAAGTGAAAAACTTTACATGTTAGAAGCCTTTTCTGGTATCTGATAATTTGGGGTTGTCTACTTATGTTTAAGAATGCGGCATTATCATGTTGAATGAACACAATAAGAATACCGGTGATTGTTGACTGTGGTCTTCAATGTAGTGTTACCTGGCTAGGCTGTTTAAGAAACATTCAGCATGATTATGTATTTCTTCTTGACCTGCTTCTTCTTGTGTCCTTCCTGGAAGATAAAGGGCTGGCTCTAGTATTCTGGGAACTAAAAGGGAAAAGAAGCTCCAGGGAATCTCAGCATCCAGTATTCATGCATTCACTTAATCCCCCTGATTTCAGTATGGTAACTTTGGCCCTAACGGGGCCTGCCATTTCCCACTCTAGGGATTTCTGCATTTTCCTCTCCAGATTATATTCAAGGTAGGCAATGCATAGTTTTTGGGGCGGGGGAGGAAGATCTGTTTTTTAAACCAAGTTTTAATGATCTTTAACACTGCCCTCCTCGCCCCACTTTCAGAAGTATGTATGACATTCATTCCCAAGATTTAGGGGTATTGTGCAGTGTATGTCTGGTTGATTCTTAGCTTTTCCCCCTGCCAATTCAGGATCAGGTTTCTTCTGTATGCTAAATCTACTACCAGCAGTCCATATGCTTTCTAGCTCCCACAATTGTGTTGTCATTTTCCCTTCCCCTCTTTGTTTCTACACTTGGGGGCTTATGTCTTTAAAAAGTAAATTCCTTTACTGCTGTTTTAGCGGGGTTTTGAGAAGATGGCAAATGAAATGTGTGTATTTAGTACATCAAATTTACTCCCAAATCTTTTCCCTATGTTAGTTGGAATAATATTTTCAACTATAGAAAAGACAGAAATGAATAATAGCAACTGGCCCAGTTAAAAGTCAAATAAGCAGGAATTATCAGGGCCTTCAAAGTTTTAACATCCGTGCATCAGTCATTCAAAATGGGAAATGGTCAACTAGACTTCATAATTCAATTCCAGGACATTTTAACTTTTCAAAGCATTTTATGTAATTTTTCTAATTTTATATTTATCACCATCCTTTTCAGAATGCAGTATAGAACTGTATTACTTATTCACTTAATAGACAGTAAACTAAGTCAAAGTTAGTCTGTGATTTAATAGGTAGCGAGTAGCCAAGTATTGATTAAGATTTTTCTATTAAAACTTGGTTAGCTCAGGTGCAGGTGCAGTGGCTCATGCCTTTAATCCCAGCACTTCGGGAGGTCGAGACAGGAGGATTGCTTGAGGCCAGCAGTTTGAGACCGGCATGGGCAATATAGTAAGACCCCATCTCTACAACTTTTTTTTTTTTTTGAGACAGGGTCTCACTTTGTCACCCAGGCTGGAGTGCAGTGGCACAATCTTGGCTCACTGCAGCCTCGACCTCCCAGGTTCAAGTGATCCTCTTGCCTCATCCCCCCAAGTCACTGGGACTACAGGCGTGCACCACCACACCCAGCGAATTTTTGTATTTGTTGTGGAGGTGAGGTTTCGCCATGTGGCCCAGTCTAGTCTTGAACTCCTGAGCTCAAGTGATTCACCTGCCTCGGCCCCAAAGTCCTAGGATTACAGGCATGAGCCACCTTGCCTGGCTTCCTATACAAAAAAATTTTTAAAGTAAAAAATCAGTTGGGTGTGGTGATGCATGTCTGTAGTCCCAGTTTCTTGGGAGCCTGAGGTGGAAGGATTAATTGAGCCCAGAAGGTCGAGGTTGCAGTGAGCCATGATCCCACCACTGCACTCCAGCCTGGGCAATAGAGAAGGATCCCGTCTCAAAAAATAAAACAAAAAATGGTTAGATTAAAATTGTTAATATTTTTCTAAGGAATAATTCAAAGACTCCCTGGCCTACTTGTAAGGAAAAACAAATATCTTCACTTTTTTTTTTTCCTGTATGACTCAACCTTAACTAATCACAATGTAAACAAAGGATAATCATGAAGGAGGTATTTAAAAGGTGGTTGCTTATAATCTATCATAATCTATACTATTATATTAACCAAGGTTAAATGTGTTTCAGGGGCTTGCAGTCATGTCTACAGATCTTGAAGAAGTGGTTAGCAGCATTTTGAATGTCAAAATTCCAGAAATGTGGATGGGTAAATCCTACCCAAGCCTTAAACCACTTGGCAGCTATGTGAATGACTTCCTTGCAAGACTAAAATTCTTGCAGGTAAGTTCGTCTAAATGATCGTATATTGTTAAGTTTCTCCTGGTTTCATTTTCTTCGTCAGAATGCTTAATGTAATGAGTATTACTCTCTAGTTTTTCTGTGCATCCCAGGCACAAATCACCACTACTTAATATTTCATATAATGTATGTAACTGCTACACTGAACTGTCAAAAAGCTAGCACTAAATGAAGGCAGAAAACATCTAGCTATGTTGGTTTTTCCACTAGGTATTTAACATTAAAATAGATACCTACAGCAAAACATTTTCGAAAGCCAGTCAAGCTTCCAGTGAGGGGTATTATAGCTTCATTGCCCAGAACTTTTCTAGGTCATGGAATCACTAGATTGCTGGTTCAGCCCAAGTCAGTAATGACCTCAATGGCTAATTGTCTTGGAAATGTTGAGTGGGCAGAAGCCTATCTACTAATTGTCTGGTAATATTGGTGCTTAACTATGTTCTTATTAACAACTCTACCTATTAGAAATATTGATTAATTTCCTAGATTCTGTATATAATGTGTCAAAAGCTGCCTATGAAGAAATTTCTGCAGGGATAAAAATGGTTAAATTCCCTTTTCATAATTCAGGCCTTTTGTTATGCTACAGTCAATACTAAGGAACTAAGATTGTTTTTGAAGGATAAAGTTATACCTTGGGCTCTTTTAGGGAAAAGCTTTTCAAACTCATTTCTTCAGATTGGCTTCTCTAATTTACTATCTAGTTAAAGTTGGTATTCAACTGACTCACCATTAGAATCTATGTTATGAACAGAGAACTAAAGTATCTTGATATTTCTAAAGGCCTTAAGGTCTCACTACCCTGCTTCTTCCAGGAATTCCTTGTACAATATTGTGTTCCTATATGTTGAATTTTACTGTGTTTTAGTGAAGTAGGAAGAAAAACTTCCAAAGCAACATTCTATTGGGTACTAATGACTAATTAGAGAGAGAAGAAAAGTGAAAAACATAACCATCTGACCAGACTTTATGGGGATCTCTTCTTCTGTTCAACTATGTAACATGATATATTGTGTAGCAATGCGTATTAGATATTCACTATTGTAGGGAGCGTTTCTGAAAGAATCATGGGGCATGTATAAAACAGACATTTGTTTGCATTAATGCACATTGTAATTTCCAAGCTGATATGATAGGTATGAAATTGAAGTCAGGACAAATACCGAATATACCACCTGTTTTTAAAACCTTGAGAGTATGGCTTGTTACTCCTCAGGGGTTATTTGTTAGTTTATCTAAAAGACAACAAATGTCTTTGGATACATTTTATTAAGTAGTGTTGTATTCAAAAGTTGAAAGGCTCCCTAGGTGTGGTGGCTCATGCCTGTAATCCCAGCACTCTGGGAGGCTGAGGAAGGCATACTGCTTGAGTCTAGGAGTTCAAGACCAGCCTGGGCAAAATAGCAAAACCCCTTCTCAACTAAAAATACAAAAAAATTAGCCAGGCATGGTGGTATGTGCCTGTATTCCCAGCTACTTGGGAGGCTGAGGTGAGAGGATCACCTGAGCCCTGCCTGGGCAACCAGAGATCCTGTCTCAAAAAAAAAGAAAAAAAGGTTGAAAGGTGCTACTGTTAGCCCACTTGTGTTTTACACCCTAGCAATGGTATGAGGTTGGTCCTCCTCCAGTCTTCTGGCTTTCTGGCTTCTTCTTCACACAAGCCTTCCTGACCGGTGCCCAGCAGAACTACGCCAGGAAATACACAATTCCTATTGATCTTCTTGGGTTTGACTATGAAGTGATGGAAGACAAAGAATACAAGCATCCTCCTGAGGATGGTAAGTGCAGGGACAGAATGAGTCGGCTCATATCTGGGCACTGAACAAAAACATGACATTCTAGCATACTTTCCTCAGCTGTTAAAAAAGTAATAAACATGAATGTAATTTACCTTAAATGCCAGAGAAAAAAATTATTGAGATACAGAGAGCAAATGAGTGAGCCAGGTGGAAAGAGAGAGAAAGAGAAGGGGTGAGGGGGAATGATCAAGCAAATAGGGGAAGAAAATGATAACAGTAGATGAATCTGGATAAAGAATATATGTCCTTTGTACTTTTTGCAAAATTTTGTAAGTTAGAAGTTATTCCTAAAATGTTAAGAAGGTAATCATCAAATTAACAGCATATAGGATAATCAGCCATAATCTTATGTTGGCTGTGGGGACTTGACATGTACAGCATTGAAAAGAAGGTTTTTCCTGGTCCCTTGAAGCATATACCTTCATAGAATCCTAAGATATGTATTCTTTCCTGTCATTCCAAAACCTATAGCTTAACATTCCAAAACTTATAGCTAATAGAAACATTTGCTCTGTGGTTGAAAGATTGTGAGGAAATCTTTATTTTCTTGATGATTGTCTACACTTTATGGCTACCCTGATATTTTATTTCAAATTTAGTGGACAAGGCCACGATTTTAAATAAGAGTTATTTTTTAAATGCTACAGATTCCAGAATTTTATCAAAATTGTCTTTATATAAATGACATTAATCTCTAAGTGCCTGTTAATGTGTACTGCTTTAACTAGTGTGTTGAAGACAACTTCCTTATTCATCACTGAATGATGAATTCACTGGCTCACTCTTCTATCAGGCACTGGAGATATCAACAGGGAACAATTTAGGATCTTGTCCCTCAACTAATTTATACTGTGGTGGGAGACACTAACAAGTAGATATGTAATCACAACAGTGTATGATAATCGCATTACTGTGCCAAGAAGTTTTATTTTAAATTGATGGTCACAAATCTCAAGATGGTTTGTAACACTATGAAGCAATCCCACTACTATTCCCGGGGATATTTGCTTTCCTCCTCTCAAAACAACCACTTATGCCCTCTTTGCCCTTCCTTCTGCTCCCACATCTCACCTTATCCTTCATGAAAAAAAAAAGCCATCTGAAGAGAGCTTTTAGCACCACCGACTCAATACATTTGTCAACATCTGCACCCTTGAGGCATCCAGATCCCATTTTCTTTTTCCTTCTCAAGGGCTTTGCTCCTTTAATTGTGCCCTCTCTTTCAGGAATAAATTATTTCTCTCTTACTAGTAGATACTTCTTGTCAGCCTACAACATGCTCTAGAATCTCTCATCTTAAATCAGCCATTTCAATTGTCTTTCTACAATCCCCCTCAGCTGCTGTCCTGTATCTCCGCTCACCAGTATAGCAAAATTCCTCAAAAGAATTGTCTTTACATGCTGTCTGCAGGTTCTCACTTCCTATTAGTTATCTACCTTTCATCCCCTCTAATCAACTGATGCTGTTCTTTTCAGAGTTAGTGATGACTTCTATGTTGACAAATCCCATGAATTCTCTTCTGTCTTCATCTTAACCTCTTAGTGATTTTTACCAGTTGCCATCTTCATATTTGTAGAGACATGCTTCTCTCTTTGTTTCCAGTACATCTCCCTCTCCTGATTTTCCTTATCTCATTGGCCATATTCATGCTGGTTGGCTGGTTTAGGTTCCCCTAATATTAGAGTTTCCAAGGACTGAGTCCTGGGACTATTTCTCTTTTCTGATAGCATCCTACTCCAAGTGACCGACCTTATTCTTTTTTATCTTTAAACATTAACTCTTTGCTTATGTCCTCCAAATGCAAATCTCTGAATCTTCAATCTAGATCTTTCCTCTAAGATCAGACCTCCATATCCAATTGCCAACCTGAAATCTACACTTTGGTATCTCCTGAATATGTAAAATGAGTCATTTCAATAAATGGCACCACCATCCAGACAGAAACCCAGGAACTCTTCGTTCTTCTGCTCCCTCATCTGTTCATATCAAGGGCTGTTGCTCACCTACAGTCCTACTGCCACCACAATTTTTTTTTTTTTTTTTTGAGATAGGGTCTCACATTGTGACCCCACCTACAGTGTAGTGGCATGATCTCGACTTACTGCAGCCTTGACCTCCTGGGCCCAAGTGATCCTCCCACTCAGCCTCCTGAGTAGCTGAGACCAGAGGCGTGCGCCACCTTGCCCAGCTAATTTTTTCATTTTTTTGTATAGACAGGGTCTCCCTGTGTTGTCCAGGCTGGTCTCAGTCTCCTGAGCTCAAGGAATCCACTCACCTTGGGCTCCCAAAGTGCTGGGATTACAGGCGTGAGCCACTGCACCTGGCCCCACCACCATTGTTATCTTGCCTTCTCCTCTAGCCTTTATCCTGTCTCCCTACTGTCATTACCCACTTATTGCCCTTAATTTGTATAGAAGCCACAGAACTTTTTTAAAAAATGAAGATAGATAATATCAGCCTTTGGTCTCCATTGAAAACCCAGGCAACTAAATAAGTTTTTTCCCTTTGTGGTTTGAATAAAATCCAGACCCCTTATGGTGACAATGAGGCCAGGCGTGTTCTAGCCGCCGCCCACCTGTACAAGCTCATCATGTGCCACTATGCTCAGGTCACGCTAACCTCCTGACAGTTTCTAGAACGGCTCATGTTCTTTTCTCTTTGGGATCTTGGGAACACCACTTCCATCTGTTGGAGCCGCCCATTTCACCTTATTATCCTCTCTTGCGACTCTGCTTATTAACTTCAAAGCATCAGTCAGACTGTAATTATTTTATGTATTTCTTTCTTTATTATCGCTCTCCCTCACTACAGTACAGATACCAGAAGAGTGGTGATCTTGTTTGTCTGCACCATTCTTTCTTGAGTGCCTCTCAGTGTCTAGCACATAAAGGGCCCTCAAATGCTGCTGGGGGAAATTTCAAAAATTATGCTACCGGAATCCACTAAAAATGTATGGACTCGAACCCAACCTGTTAAAGATACCTCTTATTCCAGTCTCTAATACTTAAACAGTTTTATTGCAGAAACACATTTAAGAACAACAGATATAAGGAATAAAGAATCATTGGGACATATGATATCTTAGAAATATTATTTTTCAGCCACAGATGCCTAACATACCATTATTCTGACCATTTGTTCAAAATCCCTTTATTCTTAACATACTCAAAAGAAGCTTTATCCCACTAGAGGCTTTTAAAATAAATAAATAAAACAAATACAGAAGGAAATTTAACAACCTTCTGCTAAGTTATTTAGTTTATTGTTTCCTTAATAATATAAGCTTTAACAAAATTTTTTCCCATACAGCTCACTATATTACATGTCATAAAAGACACTAATAAATATGAGTTTGAGCCCCTGCCCTCATAAAATTAAAAGTATAGTTAGATAAATTTAGCACCATACTGGAAGGATAAATAATTTGGCTCAAATTAAGTATTTGGCAATGGAGGAAAGGAATGTCTAAATTGGGTAAAAGCAAATCAAAGAAACAGCATGGATACCTATGGTGGGGCTGCTCTGTACCACTGCTGGGCTGCCCAGTCCATTACACTGAATCCTCACAATACCCCTATGGCTCAGATACTACTATTATCACCATTAGACAAGGTGGAAACTAAGGCTCAGGGGGGTTAAGTAACTTGCTGAAGGTCTCACAGCTAATGAACAGAGGTGAGATTCAGACCCAGGCCATCTGGCTCTCATGCTTAGCTGCTTTCTCTATGGCCTACTGAGTATTTTGGTAGAAGTTTGAAAACATCACATTTCTCAACGAAAGTTTTCTTAAAGGAGTTATGGTTAATTCTTAAGTATTTAATTCAGATGCATGAATTTTTTTCTAGTTCTTTTTGTATTATTATAATACGCAGAGGGTCACATTTGGGTTGAAGTTTGAGCAGCACTGATGATGTCTTTCAGGGTTATATGTTTTTGAACTCAGCTAAAAGACTGAATTTATAAGCATTGCCAAAAGCTTCTGAACTACCTAATACCCAAGATCAAACTATTGTGTTGCCCATTATTATATACTGAACATAATTATTGTACAGGGTAGTTGATATTTATTTTTACGTTGATTTACTAATTTAATCCACAGAAGCTCTTATAAAAGAAGGTGAAGTATTAAAAATCCAAAATCATCTTGAAAACAGTGGAGTAAAAATAAAGCACAACTTATTAAAGGATCCATAAAGCCTATTTAGTGTTCCAAGATCATGCACTGAAGAGTAGTCATCAGCTAATTAAACTGTTTTACTGACTACCACAGTGTTGGTCCAGGCTTAATTTATTTATTTATTTTATTTCTTTATTTTATTTTATTTTATTATTATTATACTTTAAGTTTTAGAGTACATGTGCACAATGTGCAGGTTAGTTACATATGTATACATGTGCCATGCTGGTGTGCTGCACCCATTAACTCCTCATTTAGCATTAGGTATATCTCCTAAAGCTATCCCTCCCCCCTCCCCCTTCCCCACAACAGTCCCCAGAGTGTGATGTTCCCCTTCCTGTGTCCATGTGTCCTCATTGTTCAATTCCCACCTATGAGTGAGAATACGCGGTGTTTGGTTTCTTGTTCTTGCGATAGTTTACTGAGAATGATGATTTCCAATTTCATCCATGTCCCTACAAAGGACATGAACTCATCATTTTTTATGGCTGCATAGTATTCCATGGTGTATATGTGCCACATTTTCTTAATCCAGTCTATCATTGTTGGACATTTGGGTTGGTTCCAAGTCTTTGCTATTGTGAATAGTGCTGCAATAAACATATGTGTGCATGTGTCTTAATAGCAGCATGATTTATAGTCCTTTGGGTATATACCCAGTAATGGGATGGGTGGGTCAAATGGTATTTCTAGTTCTAGAACCCTGAGGAATCGCCACACTGACTTCCACAATGGTTGAACTAGTTTACAGTCCCACCAACAGTGTAAAAGTGTTCCTATTTCTCCACATCCTCTCCAGCACCTGTTGTTTCCTGACTTTTTAATGATTGCCATTCTAACTGGTGTGAGATGGTATCTCATTGTGGTTTTGATTTGCATTTCTCTGACGGCCAGTGATGGTGAGCATTTTTTCATGTGGTTTTTGGCTGCATAAATGTCTTCTTTTGAGAAGTGTTTTTTCATGTCCTTCACGCACTTTTTGATGGGGTTGTTTTTTTCTTGTAAATTTGTTTGAGTTCATTGTAGATTCTGGATATTAGCCCTTTGTCAGATGAGTAGGTTGCGAAAATTTTCTCCCATTTTGTAGGTTGCTTGTTCACTCTGATGGTAGTTTCTTTTGCTGTGCAGAAGCTCTTTAGTTTAATTAGATCCCATTTGTCAATTTTGGCTTTGTTGCCATTGCTTTTGGTGTTTTAGACATGAAGTCCTTGCCCATGCCTATGTCCTGAATGGTAATGCCTTGGTTTTCTTCTAGGGTTTTTATGGTTTTAGGTCTAACGTTTAAGTCTTTAATCCATCTTGAATTAATTTTTGTATAAGGTGTAAGGAAGGGATCCAGTTTCAGCTTTCTGCATATGGCTAGCCAGTTTTCCCAGCACCATTTATTAAATAGGGAATCCTTTCCCCATTGCTTGTTTTTCTCAGGTTTGTCAAAGATCAGATAGTTGTAGATAAGCGGCGTTATTTCTGAGGGCTCTGTTCTGTTCCATTGGTCTCTATCTCTGTTTTGGTACCAGTACCATGCTGTTTCGGTTACTGTAGCCTTGTAGTATAGTTTGAAGTCAGGTAGTGTGATGCCTCCAGCTTTGTTCTTTTGGCTTAGGATTGACTTCGCGATGTGGGCTCTTTTTTGGTTCCATATGAACTTTAAAGTAGTTTTTTCCAATTCTGTGAAGAAAGTCATTGGTAGCTTGATGGGGATAGCATTGAATCTGTAAATTACCTTGGGCAGTACAGCCATTTTCACGATATTGATTCTTCCTACCCATGAGCATGGAATGTTCTTCCATTTGTTTATATCCTCTTTTATTTCATTGAGCAGTGGTTTGTAGTTCTCCTTGAAGAGGTCCTTCACGTCCCTTGTAAGCTGGATTCCTAGGTATTTTATTCTCTTTGAATAAGTTGTGAATGGGAGTTCACTCATGATTTGGCTCTCTGTTTGTCTGTTATTGGTGTATAAGAATGCTTGTGATTTTTGCACATTGATTTTGTATCCTGAGACATTGCTGAAGTTGCTTATCAGCTTAAGGAGATTTTGGGCTGAGACAATGGGGTTTTCTAGATATACAATCATGTCATCTGCAAACAGGGACAATTTCACTTCCTCTTATCCTAATTGAATACCCTTTATTTCCTTCTCCTGCCTGATTGCCCTGGCCAGAACTTCCAACACTATGTTGAATACGAGTGGTGAGAGAGGGCATCCCTGTCTTGTGCCAGTTTTCAAAGGGAATCTTCCAGTTTTTGCCCATTCAGTATGATATTGGCTGTGGGTTTGTCATAGATAGCTCTTATTATTTTGAGATATGTCCCATCGATACCTAATTTATTGAGAGTTTTTAGCATGAAGGGTTGTTGAATTTTGTCAAAGGCCTTTTCTGCATCTATTGAGATAATCATGTGGTTTTTGTCTTTGGTTCTGTTTATATGCTGGATTACATTTATTGATTTGCATATATGGAACCAGCCTTGCATCCCAGGGATGAAGCCCACTTGATCATGGTGGATAAGCTTTTTGATGTGCTGCTGGATTTGGTTTGCCAGTATTTTATTGAGGATTTTTGCATCAATGTTCAAGGATATTGGTCTAAAATTCTCTTTTTTGGTTGTGTCTCTGCCTGGCTTTGGTATCAGGATGATGCTGGCCTCATAAAATGAGTTAGGGAGGATTCCCTCTTTCTCTATTGATTGGAATAGTTTCAGAAGGAATGGTACCAGTTCCTCCTTGTGCCTCTGGTAGAATTAGGCTGTGAATCCGTCTGGTCCTGGACTCTTTTTGGTTGGTAAGCTATTGATTATTGCCACAATTTTAGAGCCTATTCAGAGATTCAACTTCTTCCTGGTTTAGTCTTGGGAGGATATATGTGTTGTGGAATTTATCCATTTCTTCTAGATTTTCTAGTTTATTTGCGTAGAGGTGTTTGTAGTATTCTCTGATGGTAGTTTGTATTTCTGTGGGATCGGTGGTGATATCCCCTTTATCATTTTTTATTGCGTCTATTTGATTCTTCTCTCTTTTCTTCTTTATTAGTCTTGCTAGCGGTCTATCAATTTTGTTGATGCTTTCAAAAAAACCAGCTCCTGGATTCATTAATTTTTTGAAGGGTTTTTTTGTGTCTCTATTTCCTTCAGTTCTGCTCTGATTTTAGTTATTTCTTGCCTTCTGCTAGCTTTTGAATGTGTTTGCTCTTGCTTTTCTAGTTCTTTTAATTGTGATGTTAGGGTGTCAATTTTGGATCTTTCCTACTTTCTCTTGTGGGCATTTAGTGCTATAAATTTCCCTCTACACACTGCTTTGAATGTGTCCCAGAGATTCTGGTATGTTGTGTCTTTGTTCTTGTTGGTTTCAAAGAACATCTTTATTTCTGCCTTCATTTCGTTATGTACCCAGTAGTCATTCAGGAGCAGGTTGTTGAGTTTCCATGTAGTTGAGTGGTTTTGAGTGAGTTTCTTAATCCTGAGTTCTAGTTTGATTGCACTGTGGTCTGAAAGACAGTTTGTTATAATTTCTATTCTTTTACATTTGCTGAGGACAGCTTTACTTCCAACTATGTGGTCAATTTTGGAATAGGTGTGTTACGGTGCTGAAAAAAATGTATATTCTGTTGATTTGGGGTGGAGAGTTCTGTAGATGTCTATTAGGTCCGCTTGGTGCAGAGCTGAGTTCAATTCCTGGATATCCTTGTTAACTTTCTGTCTCGTTGATCTCTAATATTGACAATGGGGTGTTAAAGTCTCTCATTATTATTGTGTGGGAGTCTAAGTCTCTTTGTAGGTCACTCAGGACTTGCTTTATGAATCTGAGTGCTCCTGTATTGGGTGCATATATATTTAGGATAGTTAGCTCTTCTTGTTGAATTGATCCCTTTACCATTATGTAATGGCCTTCTTTGTCTCTTTTGATCTTTGTTGGTTTAAAGTCTGTTTTATCAGAGACTAGGATTGCAACCCCTGCCTTTTTTTGTTTTCCATTTGCTTGGTAGATCTTCCTCCATCCTTTTATCTTGAGCCTATGTGTCTCTGCACGTGAGATGGATTTCCTGAATACAGCACACTGATGGGTCTTGACTCTTTATCCAATTTGCCAGTCTGTGTCTTTTAATTGGAGCATTTAGTCCATTTACATTTAAAGTTAATATTGTTATGTGTGAATTTGATTGTGTCATTATGATGTTAACTGGTTATTTTGCTCGTTAGTTGATGCAGTTTCTTCCTAGCCTTGATGGTCTTTACAATTTGGCATGATTTTGCAGTGGCTGGTACCGGTTGTTCTTTCCATGTTTAGTGCTTCCTTCAGGAGCTCTTTTAGGGCAGGCCTGGTGGTGACAACATCTCTCAGCATTTGCTTGTCGGTAAAGTATTTTATTTCTCCTTCACTTATGAAGCTTAGTTTGGCTGGATATGAAATTCTGGGTTGAAAATTCTTTAAGAATGTTGAATATTGGCCCCCACTCTCTTCTGGCTTGTAGAGTTTCTGCCCAGAGATCTGCTGTTAGTCTGATGGGCTTCCCTTTGTGGGTAACCCGACCTTTGTCTCTGGCTGCCCTTAAGATTTTTTCCTTCATTTCCACTTTGGTGAATCTGACAATTATGTGTCTTGGAGTTGCTCTTCTCGAGGAGTATCTTTGTGGCGTTCTCTGTATTTCCTGAATCTGAATGTTGGCCTGCCTTGCTAGATTGGGGAAGTTCTCCTGGATAACATCCTGCAGAGTGTTTTCCAACTTGGTTCCATTCTCCTCGTCACTTTCAGGTACACCAATGAGACGTAGATTTGGTCTTTTCACATAATCCCATATTTCTTGGAGGCTTTGTTCATTTCTTTTTATTCTTTTTTCTCTAAACTTCCCTTCTCGCTTCATTTCATTCATTTCATCTTCCATCACTGATACCCTTTCTTCCAGTTGATCGCATCGGCTCCTGAGGCTTCTGCATTCTTCACGTAGTTCTTGAGCCTTGGCTTTCAGCTCCATCAGCTCCTTTAAGCACTTCTCTCTATTGGTTATTCTAGTTACACATTCGTCTAAATTTTTATCAAAGTTTTTAACTTCTTTGCCTTTGGTTTGAATTTCCTCCTGTAGCTCAGTGTAGTTTGATCGTCTGAAGCCTTCTTCTCTCAGCTCGTCAAAGTCATTCTCCGTCCAGCTCTGTTCCGTTGCTGGTGAGGAACTGCATTCCTTTGGAGGAGGAGAGGCGCTCTGCTTTTTAAAGTTTCCAGTTTTTCTGCTCTGTTTTTTCCCCATCTTTGTGGTTTTATCTACTTTTGATCTTTGATGATGGTGATGTACAGATGGGTTTTTGGTGTGGATGTCCTTTCTGTTTGTTAGTTTTCCTTCTAACAGACAGGACCCTCAGCTGCAGGTCTGTTGGAGTTTGCTAGAGGTCCACTCCGGACCCTGTTTGCCTGGGTAACAGCAGCGGTGGCTGCAGAACAGCGGATTTTCGTGAACCGTGAATGCTGCTGTCTGATTGTTCCTCTGGAAGTTTTGTCTCAGAGGAGTACCCGGCCGTGTGAGGTGTCAGTCTGCCCCTACTGGGGGATGCCTCCCAGTTAGGCTGCTCGGGGGTGAGGGGTCAGGGACCCACTTGAGGAGGCAGTCTGCCCGTTCTCATATCTCCGGATGCATGCTGGGAGAACCACTGCTCTCCTCAAAGCTGTCAGACAGGGACATTTAAGTCTGCAGAGGTTACTGCTGTCTTTTTGTTTGTTTGTCTGTGCCCTGCCCCCAGAGGTAGGCAGGCCTCCTTGAGCTGTGGTGGGCTCCACCCAGTTCAAGCTTCCTGGCTGCTTTGTTTACCTAGGCAAGCCTGGGCAATGGCGGGCGCCCCTCCCCCAGCCTCACTGCCGCCTTGCAGTTTGATCTCAGACTGCTGTGCTAGCAATCAGCGAGACTCCGTGGGCGTAGGCCCCTCCGAGCCAGGTGTGGGATATAATCTCCTGGTGCGCCGTTTTTTAAGCCCGTCAGAAAAGGGCAGTATTAGGGTGGGAGTGACCCGATTTTCCAGGTGGTGTCTGTCACCCCTTTCTTTGACTAGGAAAGGGAACTCCCTGACCCCTTGCGCTTCCCGAGTGAGGCAATGCCTTGCCCTGCTTCGGGTGGCGCATGGTGCGCTGCACCCACTGTCCTGCACCCACTGTCTGGCACTCCCTAGTGAGATGAGCCCGGTACCTCAGATGGAAATGCAGAAATCACCTGTCTTCTGTGTCATTCATGCTGGGAGCTGTAGACTGGAGCTGTTCCTATTTGGCCATCTTGAAAGGTGTCCGGTGCAGGCTTAATTTATAATAGCTGATACATTTCTGCAAAATCTTGAACTTTATTTACTTACCAATGCACAATATACGTTTCACCAATAAGCACATATATCCACAAATTAGCCTTTTTGTCATCCTAGCTTTTTCCTTCCTACTTAGCTAATTATCAGAAAGAAATAGAGAATCCATGGAATGATTTAGATAAATGGGTTTTTCCCCAAGGAATCACTTTCTCATAGGACCCTAGTGGGAGGGACATAGATCCCACCTGAGAACAGCTTGGGATAGAAGCCAAGTTTCTTTTTTTCCAATCTCTACCCCTTTACCATACTTTAGACATATTTTTGTTATGTTCCTGTTTCTAGGGTCTGGGCCTCATAACACTGTCATCCTTATATAGCTAAGATTAAATTAAAATACAATGAAAAGGGGCACCTAAAGGCTACAGTGCTGCTGAACGTTTTTTAGTATTTGAAATCTGTATTAGGGTTCTCTAGAGGGACAGAACTAATAGGATATATGTATATATGAGAGGGAGTTTATTAAGGAGAATTGACTCACACAATCACAAGGTAAAGTCCCACGATAAGCCGTCTGCAAGTTAAGGAGCAAGGAAGCCAGTAGTGGATCAGTCCCAGTCCCAAAACCTCAAAAGTACGGAAGCAGACAGCGCAGCCTTCAGTCTGTGGCCGCAGGCCCAAGAGCCCCTGGCAAACCACTAGAGTAAGTCCGAAAGTCCAAAAGCCAAAGAACTTGGAGGCTGATGTTTAAGGGTGGGAAGCATCCAGCATGGGAGAAAGATGAAGGCCAGAAGGCTTAGCAAGTCTGCTCTTTCCAACTTCTGCCTGCTTTATTCTAGCTGAACTGGAAGCTGATTAGATGGTGTCCACCCACACTGAGGGTGGGTCTGCCTCTCCCAATCCAATTGACTCAAATGTTAATCTCCTTTGGCAACACCCTCTTAGACACACCCAGGAATAATATTTTGCATACTTCAACCCAATCAAGTTGACAATATTAATCGTCACAGCATCCTATATTGTAGATGCAATTACCTAAGATTCCTCTTATCTGAATTGCTAGGTACTACTAGGTGACTCAGTCACCAGTTGACAGCACTGCACAGCATGAAGGGAGGCAGAGAATAGTGTAAAAGAGAGGAACTAGAAAAACCATAGCTGACACTATGTGCTGATGACATCTCACAGATGGCAAAGGGCATCACTCATAGAGCAGGACAGCTGTTAAAAAGGACCTGTTAACATCTACCTGTCATTTTCTATATATTCTATGTATCTATATCCTCATGGTCCTTACTAGCCATGAGAAATAAGAATGTATTTAAAGATTCTCATTATATCTCCTATACAATTGATGGGTTGGAAAGAACGTTTATCCCTATCACCACTTTTCTAGGTGTTGAAATGAACTCTTTTGTTTACTTTCTATTATATTATCACTCTTCCCAAATGAGGAATAACTAATCTGATTGGTTAGAGGCAGAAATTTGTTGGGCAATGTTTTCGAGTCAGTGAGGCAGGGTATTAAATAGCTCACTTGGACCTGTGTGTAGGTTCTCTTTCTTTTCCATTGTATTCCATACTATAAAGTTCTCTTACTTTGCCCTATCCCCACCTGTTTTGGTGACTGATGGACAGGCCTTAGAGCTGGCCACAGAGGTAAAGACGCAGAATGTGCTCTGCAGACCCATCTCTCCCCTCACGCAAGTCCACCCCTCCACTGCCCTGGAATCAAGGTCCATTTTGCAATCCAGCTTTACCAGAGTTATACACTGGCAGTTATTGGACAAGTGCTTTGTCAATTAATAAAACTGATACTATATTCCGACGTATTCTTCCCATCAGCTAAAACCCAGAGAAGAGAAAGGGTAAGTCTTTCCCTCAACTCTATCATTAAATTATCCACATGTGGCCATTTAAATTTAACTATAATTAAAATAAAATTTAAAATTCAGTTATTTGGTCACACCAGCCACATTTCAAGTGTTCAGCTTACTAATACCAGCCTCTTATAGCTAGCGGCTACCATACAGGACAACACATAGAACATTTCCATCACTGCAAAATGTTCTACTGGACAGCACTGCTCAAGTAGATTTTCATATGCTACTCTACAAAGGCATTTCCCCCTATGTTAGCTGATTTGATTCTAACAACTCTACAAGGTGGACAAAACAGATATTACTATTTTACAAATGTTTTTAAGGTTGTTCTCCAGATGACAAAACAGGTTTTGAAGTTAAATTAATTGCTCAAGGTCACACAACAAATTAGGAACTAAAACTTTGGTCTTCCCAAAGTCTACATTGCTTGACATCTGTACTGTTACAATCAGTTTTACCTGCAGACTCCAATCCATGAGGCTTTACTGATATGTAAAGCCAAAGAAAGTAACTCATGTTTCACTGATTGCCTAAATTGTACTCTTTAGCTGTTAGTGTACAACATGACATTCTAGAGAGAGTTCATCATGTGTCTTTCATCATCAACAGACTAAGGAGAGCTCTTGGCAGTAAGAATAAATTCTAAAAGGGGAGGAGCAATTTAACTCTTACGACATTAGAGATCTGCAGAAGGGTACTTTGTTCATATGCTGCCCACTAGCCACCACTGGATCCCTATTACATTAAGAACTATTTTTTTCCCTAGATTTCACAGCTTCTGAAAACACAGTATAATCATTGACCAATTAACAATATAAATTTGATAATGTTCACACACACACACTGAGAACTTCCCATAGACCTGTTTAAAATTTCTTTCCTCTCGTCTTCCACACCTAATTTTACTATTGTCTTATTTCACTAGGCAAAGTTTCAATGTTCTTGAAATATGGATGTTAAAACACTCAGGAGATTGCTTTCATTGGAGAACAAATCTTAGGCTGCAAATCTAGTATCACCTGCATAGTACTTACATGTAGAAATTTCAGATTCAGAACTCAATCAAAATGCATATTTCAAGTGTTATATTAATGTGTTTCTTTTATATTTAGGTGTTTTCATTCACGGATTATTTCTGGATGGAGCTTCCTGGAATAGAAAGATCAAGAAACTTGCAGAATCGCATCCCAAAATTCTTTATGATACAGTGCCTGTGGTTAGTAAATTCTAATTATATATACATGTGGAATTATTTTATACATATTTTATATATTATATATAAAATAGACCCCATATTGTGTGTATATATGTGTATACATATGTGTGTGTGTATATGTATATATATATATATATATATATATATATACACACACACACACACACACACACACACACATATACAGTCAATTCTTGTTATTCATGGTAATTATGTTCTATAAAGTTGCTTCCAACATTGAATTAGCAAATACTGAACCATTGCTCCTGGGGAAATAAATACAGGGTTCTTTCTTTGGTCACAACATTTTTGTTAGCTGATCAGTAAATAACCTTTATTTTGTGTCTGTTTAAAGACACCTTATTTAATACACAATGTTGAGTCATTAACATTAACTCATGGTCAAAATGCTATGAGCTTCGTTGAGGCATGAGCTAATATTTTCTCTATGAGGCGCATCAGCCTTCTTGCACTTAGCACTGGCTGGGCGCAGTGGCTCACACCTGTAATCTCAGCACTTTGGGAGGCCAAGGCAGACGGATCACCTGAGGTCGGGAGTTTGAGACCAGCCTGACCAACATGGAGAAACCCCAGTCTCTACTGAAAATACAAAAATTAGCCGGGTGTGTTGGCAGGTGCCTGTAATCCCAGCTACTAGGGAGGCTGAGGCAGGAGAATCGCTTGAACCTGGGAGGTGGAGGTTGCGGTGAGCTTAGATCGCACCATTGCACTCCAGCCTGGGCAACAAGAGTGAAACTCCATCTCCAAAACAAAACAAAACAAAAAAACAGCACTGTGTTACACATGGGGGTCATTTTAAACAGTGAAATCGCCAACAAAAACACAAAAATGTGAAAAACCTGGTACTAAATAGGCCACGAAAAGGACACTTGTTTACGGTTATGAGGTGAAACAAGAAAGCAGAGCCTCACCTGGTTCAACCCGAGCTGGGAACGTGTGTTGGATGATGCAAATCTTTGATGCTCTGCAAATGTCCACCAAGGAGCGTGACAATGCTGCCAATTGATTTTAGGATTAGAAATAAACTTTGGTGAGTAGGCAAATTTGGAAATGTGGAATCCACAAATAGTGAGGTCCACTGTATATACATACACACACACGTGTTCATTATATTTTTCTTATACTTTGACTTGAAAATGTGAAATTTGCAGATTAAAGATTACAAAAACCATCAATTTAAAAAGCCACATTTCCTAGGCACCTATCCAGTATTGGCAGATTAAGCTTTGTAAAATATAATTAAGATTCAATCTATAACTGCATCATGAGAAAATGGCTTAAGAAAATAGCAATTTGAAGGGTAGATCTGGGATGCTGTGATAAAATATAGGCAGTGGGATTTATGTGAATTTTCTTTGCAGGATTCTGGCAGCAGCTCAAAGACAGGTTAAAAACCCCTTCAGAGCAACTGTAACAGGATCAGTGAGGGGTCAACTGACAGCCAATTGCGAGAAAGCTGTCATACATTTTAAAATACCATGGGCACAAAAGTTTAAAATACAAGACCCAAATTGAAAGTTTCAAGGACAAATAAATGCAATTTCAGGAGCTGATCGAAATTTAGTCTTTCTTTCACATGGAAACTCTTAAGTAGCTTGCAGTGTGTACAAGAAGAAATTAATTTATAAATGGATAATGATTCTCCTGAATAAGCAGCTAGTTAGAAATAAAAATTCTCATTAGAAAAATCCCCTGGGGTTGAAATGAAATCTGAGTTAGGAAGAGTGCTTCGAGTTTTACATTGTAGTTAGTATTTGCAAAACTGCCTTGTGGATCCCCCTTATGAAAATCTGGATTCCACAGTTAAGTGGGAGAAATAGAGAAACTGGCATCCTTATAAGCTCCTTCAACAATCTGTGTTTTGACCTGAGAAACCTAAAAGAGGGGTCTGAACATTGGGGCTGTCAAGTCCTATCATCTCGAGGATTGCTATTACTTCCACTCCAGAAAAATAAATTGAATTAAATTCTAAAATATCTTTATGAACATAGTTTGTTCTTACTCTTACATTCAAAGATCAAACTGCCTCAAAATCTTATTTTTAAGATTGATGAGGTCTAATAACAAATTGTAGGAATTTAATGACTAAAAAGAATGGGGTATAGATTGTGGTTATAAAGGAATGCAATTATATTTTAAACAGCATAATATATATAGTATCTATCTCCTTTATAATAGTCTCCTAAAATGGGAAGGTTCTCTAGCTATACAGCTGTTGATAAAAATCCCTTCAGAATTTTTTGGGACTGGCTTTCAATTAATATAAAGGCACATGATTCTCAGTATCAGTGTGGCAATTCTCTCCTTTGAAAGTGTATCTGATTTTTTTTTTATCATTGTAAGCACTAAAAGTCATTTCCCAGGTAATTGTGGCTGAGTGAGAGATAAATAGGTAGAAAATATGCTTTTAGAAAGAGAAGGCGAAAACTATTTTTTTCAGTTATGAGAGTTCTATAAAATGTTTTGAGCAATCACAACAACACTGCTGGTGAAAATAAATTTGGGCCACAGAAATCTGCATGCATAACCTTACTCTGAGAATACTATAGTAGGCTCAAACACATGTACATTTAACAAACAGCCTTGACTTAAAGAGGTGTTATGTACTTTCTTCCAGATGTGGCTAAAGCCCTGTAAGAGGGCAGATATACCAAAACGGCCAAGTTATGTTGCTCCATTGTATAAGACAAGTGAGCGGAGAGGAGTATTATCCACCACTGGCCATTCCACGAATTTTGTGATTGCCATGACTCTTCCCTCTGACCAACCCAAGGAACACTGGATTGGACGAGGTGTAGCACTGTTATGTCAACTTAATTCATAACCAGAAGACATCATTTCCTTGTTCCTATTTCTTGTTGGCTGGCTGAGTAGAGAAAGCATATTTTACTACTTAAACCTTTTTTTTTGTTTGTTTAAATACATTTGACTAAAGTTATAATTATGAATTTACTTATGAGCAAATGCAGCTAAACTTAATATGACTCATACTTAAATGTAAGGAAATGTTCTGAAATAAAGACTAAAGAAAACACACTGGCATATTTGCTCTCTTTGAGTAACTTTATTTTGGAGGAGTTCCATAAGCATTAGGAACATACATAAAATGACACACCACTGTTGACAATGAAAAAAAAAAAACAGCATTTGATATTTTCCAGCTTTTTAAGTTAAAAAATGATTCAGTTAAAACAAAACAAAAGTTTAGATATTTTAGCAAGAATCACCTTGCAGGACCATAATCACATTTAAGCCACTGACTTGTTTGTTTGTTAATGGAAAAAATTCACACTGCATCTAGTTACTATAGTATTTCTAAGCATAATCAATCAATCACAGCTGATTGATTGAATGCAATGTGATTGATTGATTGATTGATATATACCAAAATTCATATGGATGTCACACAGTGACAGCATTGTACAAGTAACGTTAATGACCTCCAACAAACACATTTTAAATTAGACTGGTCAAGCTAAAAGGAATGTTGGAGCCAAAAGAAATGTAGTGGAATTCAGATTGTCTATTAAGACTTGAAACTATACATTAGAATGATGTGGAACCCTAATACTAGCAGCAACTGTTACAGCCCTCTTAAAAGATTTGTAAGAATCTAGCAAATAAAGAAAGATAATACCATTTTTGAGAGAATATAAAACTTCTTTATATACTTCAGCATAACCTACTTGCTTTAAATCAATCAGGCATTTATTTTAAAACTGGGAGTATATTCCAGCTATTGCTTTTATAAAGGTTCTAAAATGAAGCAGATTTAATGCTGGAATGCAGAATCCTACCGTGGGTATAAAAACCCAAAAGTGAACTATAAATATATCTTGGTTCAGAAATCTAGATAGATAGATATCTAAATCACTTGAAGTTGGCAGTACTAAATAAAATATCAGCACCTTTTAGCTAGGTTGCTTGAAGGGCCAAGCAATGAGATGAGGACTGTCCTAATTCAGTGCCCAATGCTGAAAATTAATTATATATAAAACTTCTACTTATTATAAGGAGGCCATGGAGTAAGTCAGAAATAATTTTTCAGATTCAAGCATAAATTAAAGAAATAACACCTAAGCTCCCTTGCTTATAGCATACAGAAAAGACACTGGCAATAATCTATAAATACCTGGATGCATGTGCTGCTCTCAAAGTTTTGTTTTTGTTTTGAAGTTCATAGAGTAGGAGGAAAGAAGAGTACTAAATGAAAACATTTTAGATGGAATGGAAAAGAGTTTGGCTCTTATATATTTGAACAATAAGATAGATTGTTACAGCAGCTACACTGGTTGCCAAGCAGATTAAAACAAAGCTAGCTGCACATAGTTCAAATACAGTTTACCTGGCATAAATGAAGACCATGTGGCATAGGATGTAAACAGAAAGCTACATGCATATGACTAGTAATACAAATTATTAAGTAAAAATTCAGGATAAACATGGCTTGCACTTCTCACAAATCATTCACAATTATGGTAGGAGAACAGGGCACCTAAAAGACTAATCCCTATCAGGCACCAACAGCATATCTTGGCACAAGATGATCAAGTGATTTCAGCTGAGTAATTTAAATGCATCTTCCAAGTCACTTGGGTACCATGACAGCCATGGCAATAATGGAGTTTATCCTAGTAACTGTTCTAAATTGACACTTCATGTACACATTACAGACATGGTAAACTTCGATTTTCTGCTTTACAACCTTGTAGCCAGCCACGACATGTGCTCTTGGTTCCAGTGCCAAACTGGTAAAGCAATGTGAACATTCAGAACTTACATTTCCCAATTAACTAGTTGGTACTGTTAAAATAGGAAAATCAACTATTTAAACCACGTCTGGTTCATTTCTTTGATATTTTCTAGAGGGTTACAATTTTTTAAAAAGACCACATGCTCCAAACCCTCACCTACCCCCGCCAAAAAAAAAAAAAAAAAATCAAAACAAAATTAAAGTAAAAAACAAAACAGAAAGAACACCCCAACACCAAGTATTATAATAATACAAAGAACCATTATGAATCTTTCATTAAACTGAAGCTCACACAAACATACAATCACAAATTTCAGTAGTTTAGGCTGCAGGTTTAAACACTATGCAAATATATACAAAAATAGTAACTCTAGATTCAAGAATAAGGGCTTTTCCCAATGCTAAATTCATACTCTAATGCAGCCTGAGCTTTCCTCTAGTTCCTATGTCTACTTTATGCAGTTTCAAAGTTGTGTCAAGTTGATCCCTATCACCACATGAATATATGTAGCTGAATTAAAGAGCACTACAATTCATTCTTAAAACACACAAAAAATGTCTCCCCAAAGTCCATTTAAAATATTTTTAAAGTTTAAATGATTTTTTTTGGTTCGATCTCTATTTCTGCATAGCCACAGAAGTTTCTACTAATAAAGAGACTAGTGTTTTATATGATTATTTTGTGAAAAGTCTTAATCAAACATATCAACACTGGTTCATGGAGTCCCATATTCTCCTCTCTTTATCACAAGCTTTATATTTTTAAAAGACCCCTACGTGCAGGGAAAACAGTACTAAGCACCAGCCTCTTGTGGTTAGGCTCAAATCTATGAAACTTGTAAGTAGTGCAAGCCACTGACTTTCCTTTGAGCAATGTGCATACAGTACAAGGAACAGATGCAAAGCTGCATGGTAACATTCTCGTAATCAACAGTGATTACTGGGAAAGGTCAAAACTGGATGTCAAACACAATTTTATCTTCATAGAGGGCAATCACCAGCATAATGGCAAATCCAAAGAGCAATCCTAAATTCTGAAGGATGAATTGCCCCACAGGACAAAAGCCATGTTCTTCATTGTCACCATCACCATGCAACATTTCTGGAAGCTAGAAAAATAAATCTTCACATTAAACTTTGTATAATACTTCTGCTCAAAACAGTTTTTAAAAACATTTTCCTACTTAAGAAAATTAGTGACTGAAGTGTAACTACAGACAAAATAATTATTTTATTGAACACAATGCTACCCACCAGATGTATTTTAGTCAAATACTGAAGAAATTTTATGCTTTTGCTAGGAAATACTAACTCTGTTCCCTCCTCCTCATCCCCCACAACAAACACTTAAAATATGCACATTAGTCATTTTTCAAACAGTTACTATCCACTGACCTTATAAATTCTGACATTTTACTTTATGCTAAAGCATAAAGCAACTTATTACCAATAAGACACTCCAAAAACCGATCACCACAATTCCCACATTTACTAATGTATCTTAAACTCAATAAGAAAGCAAGATTCTTGGGCCGGGCACGGTGGCTCACGCCCATAAATCCCAGCACTTTGGAAGGCCGAGGTGGGCGGATCATGGGGTCAGGAGTTCAAGACCAGCCTGGCCAATATGGTGAAACCCATAAAAATACAAAAATTAGCTGGGCGTGGTGGGGCACGCTTGTAGTCCCAGCTACTCGGGAGGCTGAGGCAGGAGAATCATTTGAACCTGGGAGGCAAAGGTTGCAGTGAGCTGAGATCACACCACTGCACTCCAGCCTGGGCAACAGAGCAAAACTCCATCTCAAAAAAACTTTTTTTTTTTTTTTTTTTTTAAAAAAAAAGGAAGATTCTTTTGGGAAATGGCCTAATTCAAAATGGTTTCACTTCTTCACTCTTTTCCACTTGAAATTCTTATTTCCCACTGCTCATGACAGCAAAGAGATACTTGGGGACAAATCCAAATTGGCATCTCTATGCCCTTATGCCATTGCTTTCATTCCAATAACAGACACAGAAAACAACCTAGCAGAGCTATCCAGCATAACTAGTACCAAGTCATGCACACTGCCCTCACAGTGTATTCTCTTAATATTGTTAAAATTTCAAAATTCTGAAAATTATCACATCTTTGAAGGCACAGTGCTTTGAAAAGTTTATATATGGCTGGGCGTTGTGGCTCATGCCTGTAATCCCAGCAGTTTTGAGAGGCCGAGGCGGGCAGATCAACTGAGGTCGGGAGTTTGAGACCAGCCTGAACAACATAGAGTAACTCCGTCTCTATTAAAAATACAAAATCAGCTGGGCATGGTGGTGCATGCCTGTAATCCCAGCTACTCAGGAGGCTGAGGCAGGAGAACTGCTTGAACCCAGGAGGCGGAGGTTGCGGTGAGCCAAGATTGCGCCACTGTACTCCGTCCTGGGCAACAAGAGCAAAACTCCGTCTCAAAAAAAAAAGAAAAGAAAAGTTTATATACTTAATTTCTAAAGCATACCACATACTATTACATCTAAGAATAATCTGTAGATTCAAAATATAAAAATTAAATTCCTTTAATTTGTCTAAGTAAATAAGATTTGTGGAAGAAATACATTTGCATCATTATAGGCATACATTCTTTCCACCCAAACCTAATCTAAAATTGTGAAGGAATTGCTACTTCCAATTTTTACTTTCACTTTTCTGCAAACATAATTCAAATTTGCAGTCATTATCTACAGAAAGATGACACTGATATGCTACCCTCTGGGACACTACGTTTTGCTCCAAAACAGTATCTTGGTGATTTGGGTTTAGGGAGGAGAAATCTAGTGTTAAGTCACATAATTCTTAATTCATACTTCTTCCTGTCTAGGAAGAAACATCATTATTTGTTATTAAATAATGGGTACAATTAATCTAACCACCATGCTCTGACAGTGCTATGGTATATTTTAGCAATCTCTTAAAGGTCATATTTAAGAACTACAGCATGCTATCATAAATTCTGTTTAAAAGTCTATGGTAATGGTATATAATAGCTAGTAAAGATTATTTTCTTGTCCAAACCATTCACAAAATCACTTTATCAAATCAACTAATGGTCTAAGGGTTGGCAAACCATGCTGAATCTGGCCATGCCTATTCATTTACACATTGTCTATGGCAGCTTTTGTGCTACAACAGCAGAGGCGCTGTCCCAGGAACCACACACTACCACAGCAGAGTTGAAAAACTGTGACAGAAACCATATGGTCCCCAAAGCCTAAACCATCTACTATCTGGCCCTTCAAACTGACAGCTTCCTACATATGGTTCTAGTAAGACTATTTTACTCTATCCTTTCTCCTCCTTCCAAGTTTTTATTGTTACAAAGATTTTTCATTATGACTTTCCTTAAATACTTAAGCATAAACAATATGCAGCATGTTTTACAGAAATATGCCCTCTAGATATGTATACATACCAACTAGAATAGGAACTATGGCTTTGCCACATTTAATTCTAACCTGAATGTCAACACCCACACTGTTTGTCATAACCACAGCTAAGAGCCAACCAACACCTACCGGTATGGCCATATTTGTTTAAAATATTACATAAAAATGCTTTGATACTGATTGATAAACAGCACCACCCAAAGTCCTCTACAACTAGATACTTCCACCTGGTTATCCTATAGGTATCTCAAACTAAAACTTCTGGTACTGTTGATATCTTATTGAATGGCTTTAAATCAATAAAAGTCTTCCTCCATAGAGCCAAAGTCTTTCTGAAACAAAAATGTGATCATGTCATTCTACTGCTTAAACTTTTTCATGGCTCTCCAAAGTTTACAAGATAAACTCTCATCTTTTTGGTATGGCATGTTGTGCGACTGTCAGGATATGGCCAACACCTACCTGACGACAATATGGATCCATTTTTTCCTACTTAACATTAGAAAATACCCAATTTCTGGGTCATTAAAATCTCACAAAATATATGTGGACAGTTTCTTCCCTTTCTCTTGAACATTTAGAGTGTTTCCAATATAATTGTGACATTATAAATACTACTGCAAAGAACCACGTAGTGAGGTTTTATTTTTGTTTGCTTGTTTTATCAGGAGTAGTCATGTTATTTCCTCAGAATATAGTCCTAGCTATAGACTTACTGTTCAAAGGAATGATGTTATAAATCATTCAGCTTCCTCATACGACCCTTCCCCTTGCTTCTAATAAACTCCATTCTTTAGGACTCAGCTCGGATTTTTTTGATGGAAAAACTTTCTATTCCCCAACTTTTTAGCCAGCCTCTCTGTAGTTCCACAAACATGGTGCAAAACTCTATCATAACACATATCAAAATAACTGTAGTTATGACTTTTCTTCTTCATTAAACTATAAATCCTTTCTGTAAAGACTCATTCTTCTTGTATCTGTAACTTTCTAGTGTTACAGATGTAAGGAAATACTAACTATATATAAACTAAATTTCCAGCAGTATATAAAATAAGACAAAAATGCCTGTCCTCCCAGAGCTGACATCTTAGTGGGGAAGACAATGAACACGATAAATAAGTAAAATGGTGTTAATAGGTTGAGATACACGTACAAAGGAGAAAAAGTAAAGCAGGGATAGAGGATATGAAATGTTGAAGGGGAGATTTAAATTTTAGATAAGATGCCTCCTAAGCAGGAGCTAGCCATGAGGACGTCTGCAGGAAAACTATTCCGGAGGGGTGATCAGCAAGTGCCACAGCCCTGACGCAGAATGTCCCTCAGGGAGAGTGGGAGGATTTGAAGTAAGGATAGGAAAACTAAGGAGGACAAGGGAGTGGAAATGTTCAAGGATGATGAAAAACTTTGCAAGTCAAAGAAAGAACTTTAGGACTTTTACTCTGAATGGGATGAAAAACCACAATGTGAAGCATACAAATGTGATGATGTGATCTATGGCTTAAAAGGATTGCTCTAGTTGAGCTGATACAGAGTTGGAAGGCAGGGCAAGGACAGAGCAGGGAGAGTAGTTAAAAAGAGAAAGATGGTGGTGGCTTGGATGAAAATGATGAGGGTACAGGTGGTTAGGCGAAAGAGGCCTCAGGACTTTCTGGCAAACAAGATGTGGGAGGGCAAAAAGTTGAGTCAAAGGACAACACTCAAGCTTTTTGAGCAACTAGAAGAATAGAGGTATCATCATTTCTGAGATGGAGACTTCTGCAAGACAGGCTGGTCAAGTAGTAGTGTTGGCAACGTCAAGAGCTGTTCTGAACATGTCAAGTGCACAATGCCTTTTAGACATTCAAGTACAGTTGGATTAGTCTGGAGTTAAAGGAAAGGCCTATAATAAAGATACGAATTTAGGAATCATCAGCCAACAAATATTTAAAGCCATGAAACTAGATGAAATTACTTACATCTTTTGCCAACATTTAGATGCAGGGGGAGAAGAGGAGGATCCAGTAAAGAGTCTGAGAAAAGCCAGCAAGGTGGAGAAAAGGCCAGGAAATTGTGGTATTATAGAAACCTACTGACAAAAGACTGGGCGTGATGGCACATGCCTGTCATCGCAGCTACTTGGGTGGCTGAGGCATGAAAATTGCTTGAACCCAAGAGGCGGAGGTTGTAGTGAGCTGCGATCATGCCACTATACTCCAGCCTGGGCAACAGAGCAAGACTGTCTCACAACAAACAAATAAACAAACAAACAGAAGCCTACTGACACAAAAGCATTTCAAAGAAAAGAGAATGACCAACTGTCAAGTTCTGCTGTTATGACAAGAAAAATGAAGACTGGAAAATGACTAGCAGACTTAGCGATGCCATGGTCAATGGTTAATTTGACAAAAGCAGTTCTGGCAGAAAAGTCAGGGGGAAAACCTGCTTAGGTTTGGCTCAAAAAAAGAGGAAAATTTAAAAATAAACAATGGGCAGGGCATGTTGGCTTATACCTATAATCTCAGCACTTTGGAAGGCTGAGGCTGGAGCATTGTTTGAGGCCAGGCATTCAAGACCAGCCTGGGCAATATAGTGAGACTCCGTGTCTACAAAAAAAAAAAAAAAAAAAAAAAATTAGGCATGGTGGTGTGCACCCATGGTCCCAGCTACTCAGGAGGTAGAGGCAGGAGGATCACTTGAGCCTGGGGAGTCGAGTCTGCAGTGAGCTATGATTGCACCATTGCATTCCGGCCTGGGTAACAAAGTGAGACCCTGTCTCAAAAAATAACCCAAAACAAAACCAACCAAAATATCCTAAAAGAGAGCAGCAATAGGGTGATAGCTAAAGGGGAAGTTGGAACTAAGAGAGGTCCCCCACCTCTTTAAGAAGGGAGAAGTAATATGAGGTTTATAGGCTAATAGAAATAATCCAGCAGAAGGGGGGAAATGGTGTGGGAAAGAGAAAGGAGAATTTAACGGAGTCAGCACGAGAGGATCAGTTCTAGGGAACAGTTTGCAGGAGCACCAGCTAGGAAATTTCCTTTTGGTAACAGGAAAGAATGTAAATGGGCATAGATACAGCAAGGTAAGCAGAAGTGATGATGAGAACTTGTGGATTGATAGCTTCGGTGTTCCCCATGAAATCAGAAGCAAGGTTATCAGCTGAGGGTGAGAATAGGAAATGAGATATTAAAAGTCAGCAGGGAAGATGACTACTCCTAGGTAACTTTGTAAACAAAAAGAAACAATTGTTTACATTTTCAAAACCTTCTATGATAAATAGGCATTAATTCTGTGATTAAAAATTTAGGCTGGGCCGGGTGTGGTAGCTCACACTTGTAATCCCAGCACTTTGAGAGGCTGAGGCAGGAAGACTGCTTGGGCCCAGGAGTTTGAGACCAGCCTGGGCAACATAGAAAGACCCTATCTCTATAAAAAAAAGTTTAAAAAAAATATTTTTGCTGGCTGTGGTGGCAGGTATGTGTAGTCCTAGCTACTCAGGGGCTGAGGCAGGAGGATTGCTTGAGCCCAGGAGGTCAAGGCTGCAGTGAGCCATATTCATGCCACTGTACTCCAGCCTAGGCAACAGAGCAAGACCCTATCTCATAAAAAAAAAAAAAAGGCTGCATAATTTTGAAATAAGACTGTGATCTTACCAGAAAAAAAAAAGTAAATGTCCTATCTAGTCAAACAAACAAACATAAAAACCTAATTGCTAGTTCTGTAAATACACTGTCTAACATATTTGGGGTATTAAAGTAAAATCAAAATAAAACAAATTGTTAGCATTTACATTTAACTTTAAGCTAAATTTAGAAATAAGAGAAATTACATAAATCCTATGGAATATATACCACTTCCTTCCAGAAGACTGGCTTACCTAACAGGAATAGTATTTCTCTCCTGTTTGCCATAAAACAAACTCAAAAAATTAATTTTGCTAACAAAAATAAAACACTTCTACACCAATATTACAAAGTCTTTAAAGTAGTATAATAATTCTGTAATTATAACTCTACTACTAATGATTATTTAAATAGTAACATGATGGACAGACATTTTCAGCAACTCAACTGGTTTCCATAAAAGGAAACCTCCTACTTAAATGTCCTTCCTTAAGAGATTATTTAGGATATTATGTCTTTAAAATGAGTTATATTTTCAAAAATAGTTTGGCTTCAAACCACTTCCAAGGATTTCTTTCATTTGCAGGTTTAGTACCACAAAAAAATATAAAATATCTTACCATATCCACCAAGGCTACATAGAGGAACATGCCTGCAGTGACTGCAAAGATCCAAAGTGTGATGTTATTGGCATACTGACCAACAGCTGTGCCTATGAGCATGCCTATGTAAGCCATCATGGCAGAGAGGAGGTTGTATACAATTGCTTGCTTTACAGTCATGCCTGCTTTAAGAAGAACTGCAAAATCTCCTGCAATTAAGAAACAATGGGAATGTTTTAAAACCACAGGATTTAAAACACAAATCTGAAAGGAGAAAACAAATAAAATCAGCATTAAAAAGATACACACTTTTAATAACAGTATTTTATGTGATATATAAAATATTTTACTTATTAAACCATAATGCATGCAAAAACTTGGATGAATCTCAAAGGCATGATACTGAAAGATGTCCATCTGAAAGGTTATATATCTATTCTGAAACAGACAAAACTATAATAATGAAGAACAGTTAGTGGTTGCCAGGGGACAGAGATGGTGGAGAGCTGCGACTCTAAAGGAAGAGCACGGGGCAAGGGTTGTTGGGGGTGACAAAGCTACTCTGATCCTGATGGTGGCAGTGATTACAGAAATCTATATATATGTTAAAATTCAAAGAACTGTACTCACAAAAAAAGTCAATTCTACTGTACAACTTAAATGTCAAATTTTTACAAAAGAAAAAAACATGGTCACCGCTCTTCTTGTAACCAACAATCAAGACCTCCCTGCTCGAACTTCTACCCTTTCTTCAAAGGGAAATGGCCTAAGGAAGAACAGAGGTAACAGGTGCTTTAAGTATATTTTATGCTATGGTTACAGTTATTTTTTTTTCCCAGAAAGAAAAACTTTAATCCTGAAAATTCTAAAAATGTAGTAAGAATGAAGAGCTCTTCCTACCACTTTTCCGTGCTTCTACAATGATGCACATAAATATCTGGCTGAGGCTCCGAAGAGCATCGACAATGCTGAAAATAGAGCAAATGCCAGGTTCTTATTAAGCCATACTCCAAAGTCTGTTTCTAACTGTGCTGATGAAGAATGGTGACACTGGTGACTGTGAAATCATCCATGACCACAGAGCTGATGTAAGACAAAAACTCACAGGAGGGAAAATACTGAAATGCTTTTTCTAAGGATCCTCAATGGACTCTCCTCCCGCCACCCCCTCCCTCCAAATAAGAAGAAAGGCACTTTTCTTATTCATCTGTCTAAAGTTGGAACATTATCTGCAAGCTTGACTAGTGCCTATGAAAAATAATGAAGTTGGAACATTAGGGGGAAAAAAATATTGCTCAGAGAAGTGTCAGTGGAAGGACAAAATGATGCTAGAGATAATAATAGTATTGAAGCTAATGGGTCGAAAGCAATAGCTTGTTCCACCTTGAAGAGGTATGAAAGAAAAAAACCCATTAGCTTTACATACTATAATAATTTTGTTTCAGTTACTACATGAACAAACATCTAATCAATTATTGAACACTCAGCATATGCAAGGTGCGATACAGAATACTAACTGGGCTTGTTTCTTTCCCTTAAGGATCTTAACAGCTACGTATCTAAAAATACATGATCTATTATTCTTCTATACCTCTCATGGTTACAAGGTTCATAGTCTATAACAAGGAGAAGTTAACAATAAAGAAATTACTGCAAGGTTTATTTCTACCTTCCAACAAATTGCTACAAACTAAACACTGCAGCATTGTTTTGGAAAGTTAAGATAATGTACCTAAGGAGATTATCTACCAATGGTTTCTAAGTTGTAATTGTCCAGTTTTCACCTAATGCTATTCTCCTTACATCTTTTCTCCTCTGATCCTAAATACCTTAATTCTCCTGCTGAGACCCGGATTTAATATCAGCTTTTATCTCTTCTCTCTCCTGGAGTTTCGTTAATTTTCTCCAGTCTTTCTCAGCTTTTTCTCTGTGGAAAGAGCTCCCTAACTTCCCTAACAAATTTCCTCTCCTTGTTTTCAATAAATCACACACCAACTGTGCTAAAGAGGCAATTTCATTTAGCAGGTTATGTAAAACAAACTGAGACTACAGAAGTGTCTTTTAGATTACAAAATGCATTGCTTCCTTTTATAATTTAATAATGCGTTTAAAAATGAGCATTATTTAATACTCAATGAACAACGGTGTCATGGGTACAAAATACACCAACTTTGTTGCCATAGCAAGATGGTTTAAGTTCCTTCCTAAGTAACAACCAAACAGCATGAATTAACAAATCAAGATTCAAGGCGAACTATTTTCATTTAATACTTTTAAAAACTGTGGTATAATTACACAACTATTTCATTTTTTAAAAATGTAGACTTCTATGAATTTGGACAAACACATACACCCTATAACCATAAACACCATTAAACTCTAGAACTTTTTCATTACCCTTCCAAAATTTTTTTAGGCCACTTGCCCTTAGGCAACCAACAATCTGCTTTCTGTTCCTGTAATTTTGCCTTTACCAGAACATCATCTAAATGGAAGCACACAGTATGTAGTCTTTCAAGTTTAGATTTTGTTCACTTAGAATAATGCATGTAAGACTCATTCGTGTTACTGTGTATATCAGAAAATTATTTTATTGCTCAGTAATATTCCATAGATGAACCATAGTTTATTTATCTATATTCACCAGCAAAGAACATTTAAGTTGTTCACTGTTTTTGGCAATTATGAAGAAAGCCACTGCACACATTCATAAACAGGCTTTTATGTCAACATAAGTTTTCATTTCTCTTGGGCAGACACCTATTAAGTGGGGTCACTGGGCCACACAGTTAAGCATATTTCTAATTTTATAAGAAATTGCATCCCCACCAGCAATGTATAGGAGCTCTAGCTGTTCCACATCCTTGACAGCCCACAATTTGAAATCCAGCATCTGAAATCTCATCTGTATACTTTCTTCAGTGAAACATTTGTTCAAGTCTTTTTGTCTATTTTATTTTGTTGGGCTGTTTGTTTTACTATGATTGAAGTCTTTTGTCAGATATGTATTGTCCAAATATTTTGTCCCAGTTTGTGGCTTCCCTTTTTGTTAACTGTCTTTTGTGAAGAGTTTTTAATTTGTAAGAAGTGTATTTTATGACTGTTTTCCTTAATGGAGTATGCTTAGTGCTGTATCTAAGAATACTTTGCCTAACCCAAAGACACAGAGATATTCTATATTTTCTTCTATTTTTAAGAATCTCCATTTAGATTACCTACTTTGAGTTCATTGTTTTTTCTATAGTGAGATATGGGTCAAAGGTATTTTTCTTTCTTCCTTTTTTTTTAATTGCATGTAGATGTCCAATTGTTACAGCGCCATTTGTTGAAAATACTATCCCATCCTTTCAACATGGAATTTTCTTTGTACTTTTGTTGAAGATTAATTGCCATATATGTGAGGACTCTTTGCTTTGTTCCACTGCTTTATGTGTCTACTCTTTCACCAATTCCAACTGTTTTGATTACGGTGGCTTTATAGTAAATCTTAAATCAACTTTGCTGCCCTTTTGCAAAATTCTACTGGCTATTCAAGTTCCTTCCCCTTTCCATATAAAATTTTTAAAAAAGCTGTTCATCTCTGCAAAAAAGCCTGCTGGATTTTTTACTGAGAATGCACTGTGTCTATAGGAAAAAATTAACATCTTAACAATAGTCTTCTGGTCCCTGAACCTGGTATAGCTCTTCATTTAAGTCTCCTTTGGTTTCTTTTACTGATGATTTGTAGGTCTATGCATATTGTTAGATTTAAGCTAAATATTACATATTTTTGATGCTATTATAAGTAGATCCTTTTAAAAATTTTATTTTCAACTGTTGATTACTAGTATATAGCAATACAAATGATTTTTGTATACTTATCTTTGTATCAAGTGAATTATTTCATTTTAAAATCTATCTTGGTTGTAGTCTTATCTCAGGTTATAAATTCTCAAAGGTATCTGCATATTTTTCTCTTTTTCCTCATTTCCCTTCTCAGTGAGAACCTGTATAAACATTTTAAAACTAAGTCAAAGGAATCCTCACAGCAGGGATTTATAGTAAACATGCAAATCTATTCATCTTTTGATAAATCAATATTCTTTCCTTCCTGCTGACAAGGGATATCATTAGCACAATGAATGAGGTGTGCCTGCCAAAGCTGTTAAACTAATGAGATCCAATGCTACAGATGTTAACATCTGTTAACATCCACTACTGAGATTTTTTAAAACATGTATATATTTTAAGGTTCTTTATTCTTGTCTTAAATAATGGTTGTATACATGTTAAAATTCTACATAAATGTATACAATGAATGTTCAATTTCCTGTGGACAATTTAACACATTATGAAAATCTTATTTTAAATTTCTATGTAATCCTTAATTTGACAGAAAGGAAAAATGTACAACACTATAACCTCTCTTAATTGAGTCTTAATAATATGGCTACATATTTTTTTCTTTTTCAACTTTTATTTTAGAAGCATGGGGTACATGTGCAGGATTGTTACAGAGGTATATTATGTGATGCTGAGGTGTGGGGGTATGACTGGTCACCCTGGTATACTACACAATAGTACCCAGTACCCAATAGGTAAGTTTTCTAACCCTTGCCCCATGGCTGTATTTTTTTTTTTTAATCAAAATGTTATTTCCTTGAAGTTGAAACACATTACTCAACATCAAGAAGAATGTTTGGGAAATTGTGATAGACCAAGATGTCAAAATGGAAGGTGACCCACTCATATCCCAACATCCACAAGAATAATTCTGCATCCATCCACAGTCAAAAGCCTCTCTGTGGGAGTCTCAGAATTCCGGCAGGAGTTTGTGAAACCCTGGTGGAGTCCAAGACTCTGGGGCTGTTCTGAGAGTGCAGACGACACTCAGGTGGTTGATCTGTCCTGAGTTCAAACCTGGAAGCGGCTGTCTTCCTCCTGCCCTCTGGATGGTCCCCAACATTACATTACCTATAGATGGCCTCCTCCTACTACAGGCTTTTCTGTAAATTATTCTTCAAATGCTTATACAGTTCCTTATTGAAGGAAGGTGGAAAACAGTGAAGAGATAAGACAAAGTAGTATTGTAACTTAAATTCAGCTACATAAGTTCGGCAAACACAGAAAAGAGAGTAGTGACTTAGTAATTCAGGCAATTTAACCCATTACCACACCAGAGAGCAAACACAAAATGAGATGTGAGTTTGCTATTTCCTCAAATGCTTTCAATTTCTTCATGTCTCTTACAGTCAAATTCCCTGAACTATATGTTATTCTATGGTTCTAAGGATATGTCTTTACGTATCACATTCCTAAACACAACTACAAAAAACACCTGCAGAAACTGCAGAGAGAAAAAGGGGTAAGTGCTAAGAAGGTAACCATCATTAATCTCTAAAACAACTTGTTTTCAATTCTGTGTCTCAGTGAATATACCACGGGAAAAACAGCAATCTGTTCAGAAAGGGAACACTAGAACTTGGAATTACCAACTGAGGGTCAGTCTCCATGTATTGCAATGTAATTGGAAAACATGTTTTTCCTCCAAGGGTCTGAGGTCAGTATGGAAATCTCAGAATTGTTTTAAGAATTCATAATGAAAAATGTAACAGGGCAAAATAGGTTTTAGATCAAATAAATTATCCTGAAATGTGACATACTATACTACTTTGTCAACATCTTAACCTAGAAAGTGGGAAGTGGACTTCTCCCTGGCTCTATCTGCCCATGCTTCTAACTCAACCTATAGAGGAATGATTTTCCCTGTGCTTGGGAGTTCTGAGGAAGAAGCTTGTATGCCTTTCTCCACATCCTGTTCCTCTCCGAGTAAGAATAGATGATCTGATCAGAGTAGGGACACTGACCTGGTCCTATTGTACAAAAAGTGCCCTTTGCTGTGCCTTAAGGCAAAAACTAGGCTCCACAATCATATTTTTACTTCCTTTATTTATGGTCCCTAGACCACTTCCTAACTTGTTGATAGATACAAGGACCAGAGCCCTTTCTGTCACCTCCAGAAGAGGAAGCTGGGTCATTTCTTTACACTGTTTCTTCCCTAGTAGCCTATCCAGCTACAGTATGGTATAGTTTACATCAATTTAACATTAGGAAAAATGCACATTTTCTAAAAGCCCACTCCTTTCCCTCTAGCAAAATTCAGTATACTCTGGCTTGACATATCTTCTCATAGCAGTAGCAACATCTCAGCCTCTGATTTGTGGGATAAAACAGGTAGACATCTGAGGTCTGAATGTCTCACTAGGGGTTCCTGGTCCAAGCAGAGTTCTCCGCTCCAGTTTTTTACCAGAGCTCTGCATTGGGTATCAAGGGCTTCCCTAGCTATTAATGTATGTAATGCATTTGTTCTACATGTGGTTATCAGCCCTTGTGTGTCACTCCTTCAATGAGAAATTGCAGACAGAAAAAGGGTGGTAAGAAGGTAACCATCCTTAATCTCCAACTTGTTTTCAATTCTGTGTCTGAGTGAATCCTTCAAGGTTATGGCAATTCAGTAAAACCACACTTAAACTTGAAGTAGCCTGACACTCCATTTACCAGGTAGTGGGTAGATGAACAGGAAGGAAAGTTGGAGGTTTTTCTAGTATATTATGGAGGTGTATGCGTGATTATCCAAGTCTATTACTAAAAATAGTTTTTAAGTGAAAGATTAAATATGAGGCAACATGTTAACTCATATATAAAAACTGATAGCCTTGATTTGTGGAGTTAGGCTAACAGCAGTATGTGATAGACCAACAGCAGTATGTGATAGTTAGAGAAGAGCATAAGACGTCGTATCTGTGCATTAAAAAACTACAGTTTAAGAAATACGGCATCTAACAAGAAAATGGGTGAAGGACCCCGAGAAAGCAAACAATAAAACTAAGAGGAAACAGTAATCCAAGGCATGAGGTAAAAGACAGTAATAAAGTTGAAGATTCTTAACATGATAAACTAGGAATAGAAGTATTTGGGCCAGCCATGTAGGAGAATGGTATAAACAAGGAAACAGATTCAGGCACCCACACTACACATTTGGTGAATTGCATTTAGTTGAAATGAAAAACATGTAACAGGATGTACTGCAGGTAACACTAAAAAGCTAGGTAGAGAGAAGAAGTGAAGGTCATTGAAAGTGTGACTCATAGCTGGGCGTGGTGGCTCACACCTGTAATCCCAGCACTTTAGGAGGTTGAGGGAGGTGGATCACTTGAGCCCAGGAGTTCAAGACCAGCTTGGGCAACATGACAACACCCTATCTATCAAAAATACAAAAATTAGCTGGGCATGGTGGTGCACGCCTGTAGTCCCAGCTACTCAGGAGGCTGAGGTAGAAGGATCATTTGAACCCAGGAGGTCAAGGCTGCACTAAGCCGTGATCAAGCCACTGCACTCCAGCCTGGGCAACAGAGGGAGACCCTGTTACAGGGGGAAAAAAATATATAAAATCCAGCTCTATTTTATATGTCAGGAAAGCTACTGGAAGACTTTAATTACATAAGAACATCACATTTAAGCAGATATATCTGGCAATGATATACTACAACAGAATAAAACCAGAGATATAAAGACTATGAAAACTGTCTAAGCAAAAACACCACAAAGGCGGTGATGACTTGGTCTGGATAAAGGATAATGGGCATGAACAAGAGATAAGATTATGTGTCTGAAGTTGGCAAGGTAAATGAAACCATACAGAATCAAGCCCCAAGGAATTAGCACCAAGTATGCACTAATATATTTTTACTGCTTTATGTAAGAAGTTATTGATTTTTCAAGAAATTTATATGATAAGTTCTATTCAAAATGAGCAAATACTACAAATCAAGACAATTACGCACAGTCAAATGACAGACATTTCATAGCCAGGTGAGTTTTCAGAAAAATTAAATTAGAAAACACATGAAGAAATCCCTTGCATATTCGAAAGGTGGCATTAGCATTTTTTCTTTCAAATTAATGCCATCTCCATTTCCCTCAGATATTTTCCATGTGAATGAGTATTTACATCTTAAGCTACTGTTTTTTAATTTATAAAAGAAGAAAACCAAAGTAGTATTGCATGTGGAGAGAAACTAAATTGGTAAACCAATAAATACCAACTAAAATAAAAAAGAAATGGTTTACATCCATTACCTTGGTAAAAAAGAAAAAGTTAAGGCCAGGTGCAGTGGCTCACACCTGTAATCTCGGCACTTTGGGAGGCCGAGGCAGGCAGATCACTTGAGGTCAGGAGTTCAAAACCAGCCTGGCCAACATGGTGAAACCCTGTCTCTACTAAAAATACAAAAATTATGGCCGGGCGCAGTGGCTCATGCCTGTAATCCCAGGACTTTGGGAGGCCGAGGCAGGCAGATCACCTGAGGTCAGGAGTTCGAGACCAGCCTGACCAACATGGAGAAACCCCGTCTCTACTAAAACTACAAAATTAGCCAGGCGTGGTGGCACAAGCCTGTAATCGCAGCTACTCAGGAGGCTGAGGCAGGAGAATTACTTGAACCCGGGAGGCGGAGGTTGAGGTGAGCCGAGATCACACCATTGTACTCCATCCTGGGCAACAAGAGCAAAACTCTGTCTCGAAAAAAAAAAAAAAACAAAAATTAGCCAGGCGTAGTGGCCCATGCCTGTAGTCCCAGCTACTTGGGAGGCTTGAGGCATGAGAATCGCTTGAACCCAGGGGACAGAGGCTGAAGTGAGTCAAGATCATGCCACTGCACTCCAGCCTGGGCAGCAGAGGAAGACTCTGTCTCAAAGAAAAAAAAAAAAAAAGAAAGTTAATGCCAAGTGCTGGGAGGGTTGTGGCAACAAGAACTTTCAGATATTGCTGTTTGGAAATCATACTGCTTTAGCATGCATACCCTAGACCTGTCAATTCTGTTTCTGAGTGTATATCTCAGAGAAGTCGACAGGTATCAAGTCTAGAAATGTTCAATGCACTATCTCTGATGGGAAGAAATTAAAGGCCACGTGCTGTGTCCAATAACAGGTGCTACATATGTAAAATGTGGCGAAAGCACATTTCTGAGTACTGGGCAGAAACAACAGATTAAATTAACTCATCGTAATCGGGATGGAGAGTTTTAAAACACAGTAATAAGTAACATAAGGTAAGAAACACAAGGGTTGTATCAGGAAAGCGAATCAAAGCGAGGAGGAAGTAACCCATTTCCCTTTTAGAAAAAAAAAGTGCAGCTCATTTCTAGCGCTCATTTCTAAGGGCAAATGGGAAATGCATTCGAAAAAAAAAAAGAATGAAGTCCAACATAATATATATGATTACTATAGTTGAAAGTGTATCAATAAACAAGAAAACATTTTTTTAAATGAAAAAAGAAAAATATAGGTTTTTAAAGATTATTTTTTGAGTATTCAGTTCCATTCGACCAAAATCACATAAGAAACACATACTAGATTTTTGGGTATTAAGATTATAATATTAAAATATATAAAATGAAAACAGAAATCATCCAACCTTCTTACTTCATAAAATAAGAGCTTTGGAAATAAATGATTACTCTAAAACCTCAGTGCTGGTTAGTAACCGAGTTAAGAACCTATCTATCTTTAATAACCATCCAGGTAACATTTTTGAACATCAATATTAACTTTCTATTATTTATGAAGAAAGACTGCCTTAGGTACATCTAGGACAACTTTCAATTATGTAATTACAAACTTTACCCTGATTCTTTTAAAAATATAGTCTACATGGTATATGAAATAAAAGTAGATTAACAGCAAAATGTGGCATTTAAGAAATATTTCTTTTTAAAAGTTATACTTAGTGAACCAGTCATAATCTATAATCTTCATTATAACAGCATAACTATGTTATTGAATGCAAAGGAAACCACACAGAAATGAACATTTCATCAATCTTAAGGAGCATTTTTTTTTTCATATTTTAACATCATGAAGTATCTTACAATTAGTGACACTATAGTTGCCATCAGCCATTTTTTATGCTTGAACATCTCTGAAATTTGAATGCAATTACAATTAAGGAAGTCTTAGATTTGATGAAATCTGGTAAAATTTTTAAGGTTATATTACCTAATTCATGTGGCAGTTCATGACAGAAGACGGCTATAGAAGTACTGATTCCTCCTGTCAATCCAGCACTGAAAGCTGCACCTGAGGAAGATAAGAAAAAAAACAAGTGAGGTTTGCTGATCTTAACTCTTCACATTTTCATTAATGACAGATGCAGTTTCTTTTGCCTATCTAAATTAATTTCTTAACATATGAGTGACTCACTTATCTTACACACTATAGTTTTTGAACATATAGTGGAGTATAATAAGTATGTAACAACTAGAGAAATAGCTATTCAATAAAAGCAATATTCCATATTCAATTTAATTCTCTATTTTTGTAGCCTTCCAACTCACTAATATCTCGGGAATAGTAACAATTTTCAGAACTTCAAAGTAGTGGTTTGATGGTCAACTTTAAGTCTTATAAGTCTAAGATTGTACTTGCTCTCTCACATTGATCTTTATAGGGATTTAAATGGCTAACATCCTTATCAAAACTTTCCTAGACCTGGAAAATAAATGGCACAAAGTATTACTTGTCTGGTAGTATTGAGGACTGAGGTCAGATTTATAAATGCATCTAGGTCTACTAGCAGAATTATTTATTCTTTAGTATTAACAGCTACTATAGGCTGAGCAGGTGGCTCATGCCTGTAATCCTAGCACTTTGGGAGGCTGAGGCAGAAGGGTTGCTTGAGGCCTGGAGTTCAAGACCAGCCTGGGAAGCATATCTAGACTGTCTCTATTTAAAAAAAAAAACAAAAACAGCTACTGTAAATTCAAAAACATGGTCTCCGCTTTCTGAAAGAAACCAAAGCCTACTTCTGGGTGCTAAAAGAGTCTGGATCTCAAAGAAAATTATGTATTGATCACATTTAATGTTCCTTTTAACTGGTAATATCCGTTTACTCTAGCAAGATACTAATATATTTGAATTTAGTACAATGGATTTTCAATGTTGTAAATTTTTTTTTTTGCTTTTTCAAAGATATGGCAAATTTATTAAACCTAGGATTGAAATTAAACTGTTCTCTTTTAGGGATATGTAAATACATTTGAAAATATAATGTTAAGCAGTTTTTTCAATATGGTAACTCTACTTTGAGAAATCAAGTTATTAAAGAAATATACTACAGACATTTGTTTACGTGTTCTAAAAAACCCCACTAAATTATACCCTTACACCTCCAAATGTAACAACTGAACACAAAACTGTAGCCTTTGGGAAAAATCAACTGACCAGAGTGATACATAACCATATATTTGTTAAGCTCCAGCCAAATTTAATCATACATATTATAGTCCATAAGATTAGCATAGACAGTGGTTTCCAGTCCACTTACCAATTGCGAGCCCATCACTGAAGTTGTGGATGCCATCCCCCATGATCACCATCCAGGCTATATTAGCTATTCCTGTTTCTTTCAGATCGGATCCAGAATGACAGGGGCCATGGGAATGATGAGAATGCTTGTGGTGCCACTGGTGATTATGCTTCCTCAGCACAGTTTTGTTCTCGCCGTGGTGGTTATGTGCAGCAGCATGGAGATCATGCTCATGAATGGTATGTAATCCATCACTGTGAGAATGGTCTATGATTTTCTCCTCTTCTATACAAAGGTAATTTTTAGGAGGGGATTCTTGTTGGCCTTCTAAATCTGTCAGTTCAGTTTCATTAAGTCGATCTTCAGAAACAACCGAGTCATCAGTTCCTGTATTTATAGCAAAGGATATGCTTTATCAATAATTAAATGCATGGATATTTGCTAATTTAAACAGAATAGCAGTGCAATGAACATTTCTTAAGTGAATGTCTTTTAGAATTCTTAAATAATTTCCTAAAATTATTTAGAAGCCATTCTAATAGAAAAATGATTTCTGGAGTTAAATTAAAAAATAAGCAAAACAAAACAAAACAAACATACACACACAAAGAAGAAATTGGGTTTGGGGGGAGATTTAAAAGATGCTCCGGATGAGGTCAACGGGAGGGAACTGAAATCAAAAGCAGGCAAAGTGAGGAGAAAAACTGGAAAGCATGAAGATAAAAGTTCGGAAAGAGTTCATCTTTGGATAGAAAGCCTTTTTTAAAAAAAATTACTCCCTCTAGACCCCCTCCTCCCTTATTGCAGCAGCCTACTGAGAACTTTATTAACTGTAGCTGGCAAATTAGAAGCTACAATAATGATAAAGAGCAGAATTGTACTTAAAGTGCAGATCCTCGTTCTCTGACAATTTGTGATGTCTGAAAAGCCAGAACCCAAAAAGCTATGCTGAAATGTACAGGCATTATTTCAGACAGTAAATGGCTTGTGATACTCTGACACTTGTTTTCAAATGTATTTACTAACTGTAGTGTTGACTGCCTGACCAAATTCCAGTGAAACTTAATACACCAAAATATTCCTTCTCAGTCCTATTTACTAGTAACATGCACGCTGTGACTGGCTGGTATAACCACCCCAGTTAAACTGTTTTCATAATTAGTACTGCCAGCAATAGTGGCAAACACTGCAACTTTTCTGCATAAAAAGCATTTATTGCATGCCTACCAGCCACACAAATAGATAAGTTTTTCTGACTTCACGTTTATTAAGTGAAATTTATTTCCCTTGCTGTGGAAAGTTTATTGAGAACTTCTATTTCATAAATGGATATCCCTACTATGACTATGAAAACATGTCAAGTGTCACATTAGTGTCACAGAAAGCATACACCTATGCTGTATTGCTTCTTTATATTTATTTGTAAAAATTCAAGCCTAGTTTAAAAGATGTCAGTATTACTAGTCTTGAATTTCTTTTTTTTTTTTTTTTTTTTTTTGAGACAGAGTCTCACTCTGTCACCCAGGCTGGAGCGCAATGGCGCGATCTTGGCTCACTGCAACCCCCACCTCCCAAGTTCAAGCGATTCTCTTGCCTCAGCCATCTGAGTAACTGGGACTACAGGTGTGTGCCACCACACCCGGCTAATTTTTGTATTCTTAGTAGAGACGGGGTTTCACCATATTGGTCAGGCTGGTCTTGAACTCCTGACCTCTTGATCTGCCCACCTTGGCCTCCCAAAGTGCCGGGATGACAGGCGTGAGCCACCGCACCCAGCCACTAGTCTTGAGTTTCTAAGAGAGTTCTTTATGATTATACCAGGTAAGTATATAAAAGAGATTATGTGCTTTTTTCATCACTTATTTTCTTTAAAATCAGCTATTATAGGAAATATTTTTATTTTATACATGCTGTTTTTTAATTAAAATATAATCACTTAAGCTTACTAATTTGATTATAAGGTTTGTAGCATTGCCAGGCGCAGTGGCTCACGCCTGTAACCCCAGCACTTTGGGAGGCTGAGGCAGGCGAATCACGAGGTCAGGAGATTGAGACCATCCTGGCTAACATGGTGAAACCCCATCTCTACTAAAAACACAAAAAATTAGACGGGCGTGATGGCGGGCGCCTGTAGTCCCAGCTACTCGGGAGGCTGAGGCAGGAGAATGGCATGAACCCAGGAGGTAGAGCTTACAGTGAGCCAAGATCACGCCACTGCACTCCAGCCTGGGTGACAAAGTGAAACTCCGTCTCAAAAAAAAGGTTTGTAGCATTACAGAATAACTAAATTTGGATTTATAAACCAGCAGTGATTAATAATGTAAAGTATTAAATATTGAACTTGAACCAGATTTTTAGGAAAATTATGTTGTTTTTTCCCCTTTTATGGTTTTAACTAATTTGAATCCTTCAAGAGGGATTTTTCCACACTATTTTTTGAGACAGAAGATAATCTGAGGGGGAGGGGTGGAGAATGCATCTGTGATACTCTATAAATTCAACATTCTTTACCACAGGTAATAAATGATTATAAACAAGATGCATCTTATATAGTATTAATATTCTGAGCCTTGGATCATATATTTAATATAGGACCTATTTTGAATATTTAATCATATGGCTCCTAGCTTACAAGGGCTAGATCTAAGATTATTCCCATGAGAAATGCTGAATTTATGAAGAATAGATTTTGAAAATGGTTAATTTCTCAAAAACATCAATGTCCAAACATCTACCTTTTTTCATAGGAGGAGACACTAGCAAGCTAGACAAACTATCATAAAAGTATTTGTCGGCCGGGCGCGGTGGCTCACTCCTGTAATCCCAGCACTTTGGGAGGCCGAGGTGGGCAGATCACGAGGTCAGGAGATGGAGACCATCCTGGCTGACACGGTGAAACCCCGTCCCTACTAAAAATACAAAGAAAAAAATTAGCCAGGCGTGGTGGTGGGCGCCTGTAGTCCCATCTACTGGGGAGGCTGAGGCAGGAGAATGGCATGAACCCGGGAGGCGGAGCTTGCAGTAAGCCGAGATGGCGCTACTGCACTCCAGCCTGGGCGACAGAGTGAGACTCTGTCTCAAAAAAAAAAAAAGTCTTTGTCATGCATAACCTGTGGTCTGTTGCTGATTAATACAGTACTTTTTCTTGTGTAATTCTTATCTTTATAGCACAAGTATTATCTCAGTGGATCATCTAGAGTAACATCTGAAAGATAGGTTCATCTATGTGTTTGCTCTTTAAACTGTTGTTTCTCCTATCCCAAGTTGGCTTTGCATCTATCAGTAAATAAATTATTCAGCTGCCTTATTAAGAGTGCTATGAGGGTAACACCTTTTCTGCTTTTCATCTTGTATTTAGTTTACTGTATTATTTAATTTCAGATTGAATGAATGTAAATAGAAATTAAATGTAAATTTGAATGAAAAAAAAAAAAGAAAAAAGTTTGTCTTGAGTCAGAATTGCTGTCTACCGGCAAGAGGCTTGAGTTGAAGCCAGTCAGAATCTGGTGTATTGTTTAACTTGTGATCTGAAAGCTTTCTTCCAATAGTTGATTCTTCTGTGTTCTGTTTCATAAACCATTTCTGTTTTCCCTAAAAAAAGAAAAAAAATAGTATCTGATATTAGTATAAAATGTGAGGACACAATTAGCAACAATATTGACTCATTAACACCTACAGGTAAAAATGGTGTTAACTTTATATATAAATTATTTTAAAGGGGCGTGAAAAAAAATTCTTGGGAGTAAAGCAATCCAGAGATGAAAAATCCAACTAAATTTGTATTTTTTTAAATATTCAACTAAGAGGTTCCATTCATCTACTTTGAAGTTAAGAACAGAGCACACAGTACTGAATTATTAGATGCAACAAATGAAACGTGTATAACATGTGTAAAATCTCTTATCCAATAGTGTAAGGTAACAGAAAGTTCCAAAAAACTAAAGCTTGTTTGAATTTCATTCACATTTAATGCAATCTATATTTCCCTGAATGTGACGTAAAGAAGAGTCAAATTTGAGTGAGAATCTTAAGTTTGTAGTTTCCATCTGACACTTAGGCAAGTTTGTTAAATTTATTGAATATAAGAATACTCATCTGTAAAAATAAAAATAACATTTTTATGAGGATTAAATGAGGTGATGTATGAAAGGACCTATCACAGTAAGTGACTCTTAGTAGTCTTATAGTAAAGACAAGCATCCTTTCTTATCACCTTGGACTTAGATGGAGAACATAATTTAATCTGTCCTTAATTAGTTACAAATACTAATTATTGTACTTCATTGTTTAGGTTTAAATTTTTCTTACTGTATGTCTTCACAGTCTGGCTTTTACTGCTTTCTTCTTTTATCAATGTAACTACCACTAACAACTCTTCCAACTTAAATTTCTGCTTCTAATGTATGCTAATTTAAGAAAGCAAATAATTATTCTAGAACACTGTTGAAAAAAAAGTTTTCTCTGGGAGACGCTTACTGACTGGCATGGCATTTTTTTGTTGCTGGTTTTGTTTATAGGCTGTTAACTATGTTTCAGATGTTTAAGTCGTCTAACTGCTGCATAAGTAAGCTTGCATGGCTAGTAGAGCATAAGGTAATCTCAAAGATGGCCACTATCAATTTCCTTCCTCCCTGTATGAGCATTCTGCTCCACCCATGAGGACATGGAATCTACCCCCCTGCCCTGGAATTCTGGCTAGCCTTTTGACTTGTTTTGATCAATAGAATGCAGGAGAAGTGATGCTGTGCCACTTCCAAAACTAGCTTTATAGAGATCTGGAAGCTTTTGCTTTTGCTCAGGAAAGCCAGCCACTATCCTATGAAGAAGATTGGTCTCTCCTAGAAAGAGAAGCCATGTGGAGAAGCATTAAGATGCAGACAGGGAGTGAAGTATTCTTGGACTTTCCAGCCCTATACATCCTAATCCAGTGGCCTGCTGAATTTTAATGTAATAGTGTTAAAGACTCTAGCAAATGGCAAGTAGAGAGGAACTCCCCATTTGAATCCTGGCACAGAGAATAAGAGAAGTAATGGTTAATGTAAGCCACTAAGCCGATAGAAACTGGGAAGAGTTAAGACATTCACAGGAAAATAATGATACGGACAAGTCCTAAAGAGAAGAAAAAAAACGGCAACCATGAGTTAAGGGGAAAAAGGGGAAGGAGGAGCCAACAATAGTACAAAAGTCAATGAGAAGGATATAGAAATTAAAGAAAATGAAAACACCAGCTGAGATTTTGTTTAATTGCTTTGGTTCTGATAGTCCACTTTCTTAGAAGCTTGCAAATCATTACCCTCAAGGTCCCCAACTTGCTGAAACAAGTCAACATCTAGTGTATTATTTAACTTGTGGTTTGAAAGCTGAAACAGTTGATTATTCTGTGCAGACTGTCAAATGTCTATTCTACTCAAGTATCACTAATTCCCTTTCTTCAAAAGAATGCCATAACCTTTTCATCTTAGGTTACTTATTGTCCTATTTACCATAAAGCAGATGCCCTGACTTATCTGGCCAGATTCCCTTCTCTGATATAGTTGAGAATTCCTTACTATTTAATATTTAGAGAACACTCCCTGCATCCAAGGTGTTCTTCCAGTGTTTTACTTCCCACAATTTCAAATTTACAAAAAAGCTGTCATGGTTTGGTGACTCCATTCTTGTATCAGTTTTCTTTGCAAAAATAAATGTATAAGCACCAGTAAGCTTAGGTTCAAAATGAGATTAAAAAGATCAAATTATAAAAAACAAAAAACTTGTTTATCTGAAATCTGAAATGTTCCAAAATCTGAAACTTGAGTACTGACGTGATGGTTAAAGGGAAAGCTCACTGGAGCATTTCAGATCTTAGATTGTCACATTAGAGATGCTCAATTGGCAATTCTAAAACTTCTTTACAAACTTTGCAATATCTAATTTATTGTAGTGATGAACTTTTAAATACTTATATGTCTTACATCTAATCAACTAAGAAGTCTTCTTGATTCTCCCATCTAAATAATTCCCTTAATCATCTTTTCCTCTCCTATTTCTTCTGCCATGACCCTCACTCAAGCCCCACCACCTCTTTTGAATTATTCTGCAGTCATCTACTTAGCCAACTCTTGTTTCCCTGCAGCCCCTTCTGTGTTGGCATCCCTCCCACCATATTTTATTCTCTACTCGTCCATCAGAATTAATTACTTCACCTTCCACAAGCCCCTTCAAAATCTAAATACTGTTAGCTCTCTTTTACTTTTCTCTAAGTTGAACTTTCCCAGTTCCTTTTATCATTCTTCTTTTCTAGGCTATCTTAATCACCTCTCCTTTGGAGGCAAACAAATGTGATGATGTCCTGACTAAATATAACTAAAATATACAATTTGAAATAAGATACGAAAATACAGATGAGAAGTAAGATTTCTTTCTCATGATTTAGATAACTACTGGAAATCATGAGGAGTGAGTCATAGTCACACAAATAAGTTTTATGTAAACCAGAATCACTCCCATGAATCCCAGTTCAGAGATCTGTTCCAAATCATGAAAGGAATATATACAAAACACACACATATGCAAACAAAACAGAAACAAAAATAGTATAAAATTGTATCTTAAAAGTAGACTGCACATCTTTAAGATCTTGACCATCCCAAAAAAGGTATCTGGAATTAACTAACAAAATGAATTTTCCAACTCTTTTTTTTGTGGAAAGCTTTACTTAAACAGAATATACTGAAGATAATCACTGTTAGTATCACAAACATGTTAGTGAGATGTATTCAGGATAGAGCTTTAAAAGGCAGATGTGAACTGAAGTGAATAGGGAGGAGTATAAATCATAGTGAATGGCAGCAGCCCTGAATTTACTTTCTTGGAGGATAATTCTTCTTAGATATTTTTTGTATTCTCATAAATGTGAGGTGAAACAGACAGCTGCATCACCATCAGAGTATTTAAGCAACAGTTCAACCAAGCGTCAAGCATCATCTCCAAAGTGGTGCATCATTCTTGAAAAGAGTCACCATTTCCATCATTTCATTTTATTTTCTTCCTACAAAGCCCCCTTAATCTGACTTCTTACCTCCAGTAAGAAGTGTGAAAACACTTTTTGTGTGAAAACATTTTCATTAAAAAATACTACAATAAAAGTCACATGATTAAAAATATTACCTAAGAAGACGGATGAAACTTGCTTCTCTTTACATACTTTCACATTTTTATAATAAACTTAATTAGAAAATATCTTTTGCCATCCTATTTAAGTCAATTAGGTATGATGTAACACAAAATAACTGAAACTGAGACTGCTGTATCTTGATTATAAATGCCAAAATAAATGTAGTAACAAAAATGGCAAAGATCAAAGTCATGTAGGGTGTGGTGCCTCATGCCTGTAATCCCAAGTCTTTGAGAGACTAAGGTGAGAGGATCACTTGAACCCAGGAGTTCAAGACCAGCCTGGGCAACATACTGAGAACTCTGTCTCTACAAATAATTTTTAATAGTTAGAGGGCACCAGGCATGGTGGCTCATGTCTGTAATCCCAGCACTTTGGGAGGCTAAGGCAGGTGGATCACTTGAAGCCAGGAGTTCAAGACCACCCTGGCCAACATGGCAAAACCCTGTCTCTACTAAAAATACAAAAACTAGCCAGGCATGGTGGTGCGCAGCTATGGTCCTACCCACTTAGGAGGCCGAGGCACAAGAATTGCTTGAACCTAAGAGGTGGAGGTTGCTGTGAGTGGAGATCATGTCACTGCATTCTAGCCTGGGCCACATAGCGAGAATCTGTCTCAAAATACATACATACATACATACATACATACATACATACATACATACATACATACAAGTTAGCTGGGCATGGTGGCATGTGCCTATGGTCCCAGCTACTCGGGAGGCTGGGGCAAAAGGATCACCTGAGCCCAGGAGGTCAAGGTTGCAGTGAGCCATGATCACAACACTGCATTGCAGCCTAGGTGACAGAGGGAGACCCTGTCTCAAAAAAACCAAACAACAACAACAACCACATATTTAATTTTAAAAAACCAAAGTCAGCTTTTTACTCTAAAGATTAGCTGTTACAAAACTGAGACTTAATACACACCAACATCATAATTAAGGAAAGCATATACCCAGAAAAGGATAATTTTTGTTTTGAGTTTTATGGTATAAAATTAAATAAATAAAAAATACTTACTCTTTGTTGTTTGTAGTGCTTAAACATTCTAATGCAGTGTTCAATGATAAATAGCAAGTAAATGCCTCCTAGAGCAACAAGTCCTTTCAATACAGCATCATATTCTTCCAAAAACTTGTTAGATTCATGTCCATGAGAATGTCCATGCCCATGTGCATGTTGGTGACTGTGATCATGTCCACCCTGAGACTATTAATAAGAACAAATAAAACTTCTAAACAAATAATTGAAATGCTATTTAAAATTTTGAAATTATAATAATTATAATCTCCTAAATGACACAGAAAAAATACCTTTCAAGTTTTAAAGTGCTCCCCTAGATATTATCTCACTTAGTCTTCCATTTAATTTGCTTTACTCAGTTGTCCAAAATACTACTACATTTTACAGTAACTCAAAGACACCAAGTCAAATGCTATAAGAATAAGATACATACTACAGTGAGAGAATCAAGCCAGAAGTAACAATAGGGAGTGATGGGTTCTTTGTAAATTGAAGTGAACATGATCTACTTACATGCCAAATATTTAGTAAAAATGAAACAAAACACACAAACTAATTCACCAGCAGTCACTTGTGATTCCCTGTAATCTAATTCTTTCTTAAACTGATTATCATATATTTTTTCTTTTAACTTTTATTTTAAGTTCAGGGGTACAAGTGCAGGTTTGTTACACAGGTCAACTTATGTCAGGGGGAGTTGTTGTACAGATTATTTCATCAGTTTCTTCTCTTATAAAATTATTTCAGAGGTAATAAGGTCGCTATCTCTGCATATACTGTGGAAAGTTAGCAAGAGGGTATCCTTAAATATGTAATTTTCTATATTTTAAAGCTTTAGCAATCATAAATGTATGTATAGAAAAGGTTATGTTTCAACATTATGAAATGTACAAGTATCACAACAGTAATCTTATAGAACATAAGTTAGATAACTGCACTTAGGTATCTTTCTTCGTTCTAAAATTTATTTGTATTCTTTTCCTGTTAACTAGTGGTCAACCAAAGAGATATCTAAACCTCTCAGAGGATATCAGACCACTCAAAAAGGTAACAGCTAGGTTTAGTTAACCCTTCTTAATACAAAAACAAGTTGAACAGCACTTAAATACTGTTCTCACTTCAATAACTCTTACTAGGCCCAGTTCTAAAGGAAACTGTTGCTATTCTTGATGGCTAGTAGAAATGGTGAAACAAAAACTTCATATTCACAGCCTTAAGATTCATTAACCTGTTTATTAAAAAAAAAAAAAGCAATGCCATATATTGCTGTAGATACTAAATCTGGAATTCTCAACCAAGAGTGCAGAAGAGAGGAGATATACACAACACACAAATATAATCCTGTCTCCCAAATTCTCTAGAAGGGAAATACTCAATACTTCAATTTTATATTTGGAAAAGAAAAATCCCCATTGTTTTCATAATTTGAAGTAAAAATAGTAAGAGTGAATTAAATACTCTTAGCTGGTGATAGACAGCTATCTACCTAACTAACTATTGATAGGTTATAGAGAGCAACTTTTAAAAAGGTTGGTAAGCATGGTACTAGGAATATGGGCTTGTGATCATATAATTAGAAGTGTCCCCAAAGAGAAGAAAAGGACTGGCATGACAGGTGAAAAGATAAATGCCCCCATGTATAAAGAGCTAAGTGTAAAACAGCGCACTGAGTGTATCTGCCTACTCCCGCTCAAAGATGCTGATGGCATACCACCTACAGGCATAATCATTACAACATATCTTATGCATTTCTCCTAAAGGCTAACCTGATATGCTACACAGATAAAAAAGACCACTCACTGCTACTGATATTGCAAATTTTAATCCAATGAGTTTTTTTTAAAGACTATTGAAAGCAAAGTTGACCTAATGATTCAATTTATTTAAAAAAATATTGCTATTAAAACTCTGAAAATGGAGAAAAAAATACTTCATCCTATAAGCAAATAAAACAATACAAATACTAGATTACTGTGCTATAGCTTGCTAATGAAGGACCCTTTCAGCTTAAATATTTTTATTTTAAATTTTTAAAAACATTAAAAACATTTCTTACATGGGGCAGTAGATGAAGAAGGGCGTCTCCACTCATTGTTCCTACAGCTAATGCAACAAGGAATGTAAGAAGGAATTTGAAGCATCCTTGGTTAATGATAGGAACCAAGATCACGCCTAGCAAGGAAAGCAGGCTAATGACAGTGATAGAAATGATACCACAAATCCAGGCTGTAGAAAAGAAATTAAGAGTCAACATTAGTATAACAATTTAAACCAACAGACTACCAAAAAGAATAAAAATATAAGATAAATGAATCGTAGAAGGTAGACTATTTTACCCAGATTATGAAAGCTTTAAGGCATTGTTTAAAAACAAAACAAAAATATGACATATAACTAACTTAAACATTTTTAAAAAGAATTAAGACACTCAGATCAAGTTATAAATAGTACCTTCAATGGCCCACGAGATAAGAACCAGTGACTTAAAATGACTGAAGGCTGTGATTCACTTAATAGCTAAACTATAAATAAAAATTTCCCAAGTCTAAAGGCAGAGCCACAACAATAAAGCTGTTTATTTAAAGAATATAATTATAAAACTCACCTGAGAACATTAAAAAAGCCAAGTATCTATTTAACGTGTTACAATCTTTGTAAATCTTTCTAATACAGAGTTTAAGAAATGTAACATAGCCCCAAATGGAAATATATTCATATGATGAGATAACAAAAAAGTCTTATTACTGGTAGCTTTATTGTTACAAAGGTTAGTTCAGTCCTATTTTTCTTGATTTTTTTTCTCCACACCTGGTTCCAAACTCCCATTCCTCCAATTTGGGTTTCTGTAACAATTTACCACTTAAAAAAAAGTCACTATATAATTTTAACTGGCTCAGAACACAAGAGAAATGTTTTCACAATATGACTTAAAGAAAAATAGGTATGGTGGGGAAGGGGAATTCTGTATACATGTCTTTATCTAGGTCATTCACAAACAGGTAAGACATCAGAAATATATGCCAGTGGTTTGGGGGCTGGACATTTTCATTACAATTTCTATTATTGGCCTAAAATGAAATAGAAATGTTATTAGTTTTTAAAATTCTGCTTATTTTAAGATCTATCTACAGAAAATCTCACTGAAGAGCAATAATTTTATAAAGATTTTAATCTAAAATACTATTTTTCAAATCAAATCTAAGAGGACTATAAATCTGCTGAAAGACTTTATATTAAGTCTGTGATATAATATTGAAAAAATACATCTCTTCATCAAAATAACTCAAAATTTTCAACAACAAGGAAAAGTAAAGATAGGGAGATGATACTAACTGTCCCACTAAAGGCTGAACTTTATCAATAAAACTGTTTTATCCAATGGGCGTTGTATTCACAATATCCAGTAATGTTAACACTATAGCCAATACTCATTAGCTCAATTATCTCACCGAATTAAAACAATAGATAATCTATCACTAATAGAAGCTCTGTGGCTTCCCCTGTATCTTAAAAGAGAATTCCTATCACATAAATATAGGTAACCTAAGAGGCAAAATAAGATTCAAACACAACCAGTATTAGAGGGCTGAGGATCTACCCACTAGATTTGGATTCAATGGCTTCAATCCTTGCAAGGATTTTGGATTAAGGAAGGAGCAGGAACTCAATTCTTGAGGAACCAGGATCATATTTATTACAAAAATAATATATCCTGGTTAGTGGAAAGAAAGGATGAGGAGGATTGCGGCCTGGCGTGGTGGCTCACGCTTGTAAACAGCACTTTGGGAGGCTGAGGCAGGCGGATAGCTTGAGTCCAGGAGTTTGAGACCAGTCTGGGCAACACGGTGAAACTCCATATGGAATAAAAATACAAAAATTAGCCAAGCGCGGTGGTACATGCCTGTAGCCCCAGCTACTTGGGAAGCTGAGGTGGAACGATCGCTTGAGCTTGGGCAGCGGAGGTTCCAGTGAGCTAAGATTGTGCCACTGCACTCCAGCCTGGGTGACAAAGTAAGACCCTATCTCAAAACAAACAAACAAACAACAACAACAAAAAAACACAGGGGCAGGGGTGGGGCAGTGATTGCTCTAACTAACTATTGTTGGGATGACAAACCGCGGGGAGCTGATGTCAAAAACCTTATTCTAGAAAGAAAAAATATATGCTCAAATAAGGTTTATAGGCTAACTTAATGATGATCACCAGGCTAGTTTGTTTGTCCCGTTTATAGACAGGAAAAATAAAATCAGTGGAAGAACTTAATGAAATAAGTCAGAAGTAGTCATAGGTATAAATTTTAGACACGAGGTCTTAGAGCCAATAAAGTTATTGGCCAGCTAAATCAAAAATGGTTTGTCAAAACTACTGCAGCTCTCTAGATCCAATCATATTGAAGAAAAAAATAGAGATAAAAAGGACAGGGAACTTACAATAACTACATGGGACAAAGTGAGTTGGTAACAAAAGCATTAACCTGAAGATAAACTGTATCTTACACAGTAATATATAACTTTCCCTTTACAAATATATTTCTCCTTATTATTTTGGCAAAAATCTAATATAGAAGCAACTTTTCTAAAAGCAACAGCCTAAAAGCAACTTCAATTAAGAACTTGAAAATGTGCACTCTAAACTACTTGGAAAAGCCAGTAATTCATACTCTAAGATACTCTAGGAGAAAAAAATAAAATGTATTTACTTACTAATGTAAATATAGGTGAATGGGGACTGCCAGAACTACAGACAAGACCCCAAATACACAAGATATACAAAGTAAACACCTGATAACCCTTCATAGTTATTAGAAATTTTTATTAATCAGAATTATTTTAGCCAAGAATGCACTAGAATTAGTCACCAAAATTACCCAGTAAAAATATTTTAATGGCTCAGGGTCCTTTGCTTATGCCTGTAATCCAAGCATTTTGGGAGGTCGAGGCAGACAGGCTGATTAAGGTCAGGAGTTTGAGACCAGCCTGGGCAACAAGGCAAAACCCCATCTCTGCAAAAAATATAAAAATTAGCCGGGCGTGGTGGCATGTGCCTGTAGTCCAAGCTCCTTGGGAGGCTGAGGTGAGAGGATGGCTGGAGCCTGGGAGGCTGAGATTGCAGTAAGCCAAGATCATGCCACTGCACTCCAGCCTGGGTGACAGAGTCAGACCCTGTCTCACAAAAAGAGTTCTTTTGTGGAATAGTGTTTTGATGAAAAGAAAACTTAAATCAATAAATAGTCTCTGTATTACTTTGAACATTTTAACTCTTTAAAAATATTTTTCTATTTCTTTTAGAGGAAATATGTATAGCATGCTTGCTATATAAAATATTTTAAAGACTACCTTCAAAAGATTTTTAACTGACTAAAAAAAAAGACCTAAATTCTAGGACTAAAATTGATCCTATATCTTTTGATAACTTTGTTTTTGCATATAAAACATAGAGGGCACAACTGGAAATATTATAACATAGTTAATTACTCCTTCATATATACATTGCCTTGATTGACAGAGTTGAAAATTATAAAAATATTTTCAAAGATGCCAATTATTCTGCCCCTTTAAAAAGAGAATTGTTCTAAATTATTTGCTTGTGATTAGCTACTTGAACTGGCCACATACTAGCTATTGTCATATTATACTGCTAGAAAAAACTTTAATAATCTAGCATTTCTCAAACTGAGCTCATTAGTTCTATGAGATAGGGGGTATTTCAAAGGGGAGGGAGGAGAAATTTGATAATCAAGTAAGTTTTGGTAATGCTGAATTACACAGGTTCCTTCAGAGCCTCTAACAGTTTAATAAGCAATGTGAATCTCTGAAAGAAGAATACAATATGCAGCATTTTCCCAACTTATCTGATCATGGAATTTATTAGTCTAGGAGAGGGTCTTCAAAAAGTTCATGGAAAATGCATATTATGAAAAAAATCAATTTACTTGTGCCCTAATTGAAAAGGACCAACAATTAACAGCACAAACAATACTCAACACCACAGACATCTCAGCTGGTTGACCTAACACAATTCTGACAGAAAAATTAAAGTTGAACAAACTTTCCGCTCAACTGGTGCCAAAACTCCTGTGCCCAGATCAGCTGTAGACAAGAGAAGAACTTTCCATGGAAATTTTAAACAAGTGGGAGCAGGATGCTAAAGTATTTCTTTGAAGAATTGAAGAAGGAAATGAAACATGGCCTTAATAGTATGATCCTGTAATTAATGCCAATGAACTGTATACTTAAACATGGTTAAAAGAGGAGGATTCTGGAAAGACTGTGGAGTAGGAAGCACCAGAAATCTGTATGCCTCCTAAACTGTAAATGAACTGACAAAATCTGTCTGATGTTAACTACTTTGGAACTCTGTAGTCTATTGAAGGCTTGCAACTTCTAGGGGAAAGCTCGATGGTAAAATGTGGTTAATTCTGATCAATTTCAGCTCTTAGTTTAGTGGCAGCTACCCATCTGCCATCCTTAGTCCTTTGAAAGGAAGCTGTGCCTGGTGTCCTGAATTCAATCTACAGGACCCTACAATTACAGGAGCTAGAGTAGACAAAATGTATTTTGCTCCCCAAATATTGAGGATCTGTACTCTGATCACTGATTCTGATCACAGAAGTACAGGCAGAGACAGGTGGCCATGTTGCTGTACCTCTCCTCATTTTTGCAAATCTCTCTCCTGGCTAAAGTGACTTCCAGGGGATTTAAAAGGCCAGCACCTCTTTTTCCTCCCTTCTTTTTTTCTCTTTTGGGAGCCAGGCAATAAATATTGGAAAATTCAAAAATAACTACATACTTGGAGAAAATTAGAAAGTAATCATGCATGCCTAGGGAAAGGCACAGGCTCAAAAAGGACCTGTGAAGATAGGCTAGGTGCAGTGGCTCATGCCTGTAATCCTAACACTCTGGGAGGCTGTGATGGGAGATTACCTGAGCCCAGGCGTTTGAGACCAGCCTGGGCAACATGACAAAAACCCATCTCTACTAAAAATACAAAAACTAGCTGGGCATGGTGGCACATGCCTGTAGTTCCAGCTACTCTGGAGGCTGAGGCGGGAGGATCACCTGAGCCCAGAAGGTTGAGGCTGTAGTGAGCCATGATCATGCCACTGCACTCCAGCCTGGGTGACAAAGTGAGATCCTGTCTCAAAAAAACAAAAAACAAAAAAAACCTGTGAAAATCTTATGTTTATCCCACAGAGACAGCATAAAACAATAACCCTCCCCAACCCAAATTAATAACAAACAAACACAATTTAACAAGAAAATAGCAAACCCTGGGGAAGGAGAAGAATCTGACTTCCAGAGTTAGCATATTATTAGAATCAAATGTCCAGTTTTCATAAAACCAAAAGGCATACAAAGAAACAAAAAAGCAAGGCACATTAAAAAAAAAAAAAAAAAAAAAAAAAGAATCACAGAAACTGTCCCTGAAAAAGACCTAATGGCAGATCTACTAGACAATGACTTTAAAACAACTGTCTGAAGGATGCTAAAAAAAAAAAAAAAAGTCAAGAAGATAATGTATAAACAAAATGGAAGTATCAATAAAGGGGTAGAAAAACTAAAGATAAATCAAAAAGAAACTCTGGAACTGCGAAGTACAATAACTGAAATGAAAAATTCACTAGAGAGATTCAAAGGCAGATTTGAGCAGGCTGAAGTATCAGTGGACTTGAAAACAGGACAATGGAAATTACTGATGCTGAAGAACAGAAAGAAAAAATATTGACTAAAAACGAACAGAGCCTATGGGACCTGGAGGGTACCACCAACAGACCAACATCCATATACACTGTAGAAGTCAAGTAAGATGAAGGGGAGGGGTGGGGTGGGGGGGAGGGACAGCAAGAATATTTTAAGAAATAATGGCTAAAAACTTCCCAAATTTGATGAAGGGCATGAATATAACCATCTAAGAAGCTAAATGAACTCCAATAAGAGGAACTCAAGAGACCCACACCAAGACATATTATAATCAAACTCTTGAAAGACCAAGAGAGACTCCTGAAAGCTGCAAGAGAAGCAACTCATCACATATAAGAAGCTCTCAATAAGATTACAAGCAGATTTCTCAACAGAAACTTTGTGGGTCAGAAGGCAATAGACCGATACATTCAAAGTCCTAAATGAAAAAACAAAATTGTCAACCAAGAATCCTATATGCTGCAAAATTGACGTTCAAAAGTGAGGGAGAAACTAAGACATTCCCAAGTAAACAAAAGCTGAGGGAGTTTGTTGCCACTAGACTTGCCCTGTAAGAAATAAGAGAGTCCTTCAAGGGGAAAGGACACTAAACAGTAACCTGAAAGGTGTGGAGAAAGGTGTGGCGATGAAGTTGTAAAGGAGCAGAATTTTTGTATGCTATTGAAGTTAAAATGATATAAATTCAAATTAGACTGTTTTAACTTTAGGCTGCTAAACGTAATCCCCATAATAACCACAAGAAAACAGCACAGAATATACACAAAAGGAAATGAAAAAGGAATTTAACCTTTTCACTACCAAAAAAAGTCAACTAAATACAATGGAAGACATTAGCAGTAGGAATGAAGGACAAAAAAAGCATTAAGGCATACAGAAAAACAAACAGCAAAATAACAGAAGTCCTTCCTTATCAGTAATTACTTTAAATGTAAATGGATTAAACTCTCCAATCAACTGACAGAAATTGGCAGAATGAATAAAAACACATGAGTCAACTATGTGTTATATACAAGAGACTCACTTTACATCAAAGACACAAACAGGCTGAAACTGAAAAGATGGAAAACGATATTCCATGAAAATAGTAACCAAAAGAGAGCAGGGGTGGTTAAACTAATATCAAACTAGACTTTTAAATCAAAAAAGGTTACAAGAAACAAGGAAGGACAGCGATAAAACAATTATAAACGTTTATGTACCTAAAAATAGAATATCAAAATATACAAAACAAAAACTGTCACAATTGACGGGAGATAATAGTTGGAGACCTCAGTACTCCACTTTCAATAATGAATAAAACAGCTATCCAGCAGACAGGCAAGGAAATAGAGGACTTAATACAATAAACCAACTACATCTAATATACATATAAGGAACACTACTCAAAACAGCACTAGAAACATTCATCAATGCACATGGAACATTTTCCAGGATAGACCATGTATTAGGTCGCAAATTAAGTCTCAAGAGATTTAAAAATATAAATATAATACAAAGTGTCTTCTCCTACCATAATGGAATAGTTAGAAATCAACTACTGAAGTAAAACTGGAAAATTTACAAATTCATAGAAATTAAACAACATATTCTTAACAACTGGATCAAGGAAGAAATTACAAGGGACATTAGAAAATACTTAAGAGACAAATGAAAACAAAACTACAACCAAAACTTAAGGGATACATCTAAACTAGTGCTAAGGGAAAAACAGATAATTATTAACACTCACATGAAAAAAACAAGTAAGATCTCAAACCAAAAACTTAACATTACACTTAAGGGACTAGAAAAAGAAGAACAAAATAAGCCAAGACTAGCAGAAGGAAGAATATAATAAAAATTAGACCAGAGGTAAATGAATAGAGAGCAGAAAAACAAAATCAATGAAACCTATAGTTGATTCTTGGAAAAGATCACAAAATTGACAAACCTTTAGCTAGACTGACTAAGAAAAAGAGAGAAGATACAAATTACTAAATTCAGAAATTAAAGTGGGGATGTTACTACTGATTACAAAGAAATAAAAAGGATTATAATAGAATACTATGAACAGCTGTAAACCAACAAACTGGATAACCTATATGAAATGGACAAATTCCTGGCAACACAAAACCTACCAAGACTAAATCATGAAAAAACAGAAAATGGGAATAGACTATAACTGGTAAGACTGAATCAGAAATCAAAAATCTTCCAACAAAACAAAGTCCTGGACCTGATAAATTCTACCTAACATTTAAAGAAGAACTAATACCAATCCTTCTCAAACTTTTTCCAAAAAAATCAAAGAGGAGGTAACACTTTCTAACTCATTCTATGAGGCCAGCATTACCCTGATACTAAAGGTATCAAAGACACTACAAGAAATGACAACTACAGACCAATATCCCTTATGAACACAGATGTAAAAATTGTCAAAGAAAAAAAAAACTAGCAAATAAAATCCAGCAACATATTAAAAGGATTATACAACCTGACTAAATGGGATTTATTGCTGGAATGCAATAAAAGTTCAATATATAAAAATCCATATGTATTAACAGAATAAAGAAAAAAACACCCACATGATCATCTCAATGAGCAGAAAAAGCACATGACAAAATTCAATATCCTCTCATGATCAAAAGACTCAACAAACTAGGAACAGACAGAAACAACCTTACATAATAAAAGCCATATATGAAAAACTTACAGTAAACATCATACTCAATGGTGAAAGACAAAGCCTTTCCTCTAAGATGAAGAACAAAACAAGGATGCTTGCTTTCATCACTTCTATTCAATATAGTACTGGAAGTTCTAGCCAAACAATTAGGCAAGAAAAAAATTAAAAACATCCAATTTGGAAAGGAGTAAGTAAAATTACATCTGTTTGCACTTGATCTTACATATAGAAAATCATAAAGATTCCACACAAGCACTTGATTTTTCAAGTTGCCTGCTTGGCCCTCTTCCAAGTACTCTACTTTCTCTAATAAACTCTCACTTTTCTTAAAATAAATTCTCTGCTGTTTAAAAAAAACAAAAAAGATTTCACACAAAAAAGTATTAGAATGAATTCAGCAAAATAGCGGGATACAAAGTTAACACAAAAATCAGTTGCATTTTTATATATACTAACAATGAACCATCTGAAAAGGAAATTATGAAAACAATTCCACTTACAATAGCATCAAAAAGAATAAAATACTTAGCAATTAACTTAACCAAGGAGGTAGAAGACCTGTACAATGAAAACTACAAAACATTCTGACTGGTGTAAGATGGTATCTCATTGTGGTTTTGATTTGCATTTCTCTAATAATCAGTGATGTGGAGCTTTTCTTCATATGCTTGTTGGCTGCACGTATGTCTTTTATTGAAAAGTGTTTATTCATGTCCTTTGCCCACTTTTTAATGGGGTCGTTTTTTCTTGTAAATTTGTTTAAATTCCTTATAGATGCTGGAGATTAGAGCTTTGTCATATGCATAACTTTGCAAAATTTTTCTCCCATTCTGTAGGCTGTCCCCTCTATGAGGGGAACAAGAGACACTGACGCCTATTCCATGGTGAAGGTGGGGAGGGACAGCATCAGGAAAAATAACTAATGGGCACTAGGCTTAATACCTGGGTGACTAATCTGTACAACAAAATCCTATGACACAAATTTACCTATATAACAAACCTGCATGTGTAACTTGAACTTGAAAGTTAAATTTAAAAAAAGAGTAAAAAAGAAAACTACAAAATATTGCAGAAAGAAATTAAAGAAGACAAATAAATGAAAACATACCCCATGTTCACGGATTGGAAGACTTAATACAGTCATCACTTGGTATCTGCAGAAATTAGTTCTAGTACCCCCCTACAGACACCAAAATCTGTGGATGCTCAAGTGCCTTATGTAATATAGCATAATAATTGCATTTAATCTATGCACATCCTCTCTTATATTTTAAATCATTATTAAATTATAGTTGATCATTGAGCAACATGGGTTTGAACTGCGAGGATCCACTTAATACATGGATATTTTTCTGCCTTGGCCACCCCTGAGACAGTTAAGACCAACAGATCCCTCCCTCTTCCACCTCTGTCCTCAGCCTACTCAACATGAAGATGATGAGAATGAAGACCTTTATCATGATTCACTTTCATTTAATGAATAGTTAATATGAATAACGAATAGAAAATCCTAAAGATTCCACACAGGCACTTGATTTTTCAAGTCACCTGCTTGGCCCTTTTCCAAGTGTACTATACTTTCTCCAATAAACTCTCACTTTGCTTAAAATAAATTCTCTGCTGCATATCCTTACAATTAATAATAAATTCTACATAAATTCCTTATGATTTTCTTAATATATTTTCTTTTCTCTAGCTTATTTTATTCTAAGAATATACAATATATAATAGATATAACATACTGTTGACATAAATTGACTATATTATTGGTAAGGCTTCTGGTCAACAGTAGGCTACTAGTAGTTGTATTTTGGGAGAGCGAAAAGTTATACACAAATTTTCGACTACACGGGGATTAGCACTGCTAATCCCCCCACGTTGTTCAAGGGCCAACTGTAATTTATAATATCTAACACAATATAAATGCTATGCAAATAGTTGTATTGCTTTTTATTTGTGTTATTTTTTTACTCTTGTATTATTTTTATATTTTCCCCAAATATTTTTGGTCCTTGGGTTGGTTGAATCTGCACATGCAGAACTCACAGATATTAAGGGTGGACTGTACTGCTAAGATGTCAATGCTGCCCAAGTTGATTTACAGATTCAATGCAATCCCTATTAAAATCCTAATGATAGGTTTTTTTTTTTTTTTTCAGAAATAAAAAATAAAAAACATCCTAAAATTCATGTGAAACTGCAAGGAACCCAAAATAGCCAAGATAAACTTGAAAAACAAAAACAGAACTGGAGGACTCACACTTCCTGATTTTAAAACTTACTACACAAAGCTACAGTAATCAAAACAGTTCAGTAACGGCATAAAAACAGACATACCAATGGAATAGAAGAGAGAGCCTGGAAATAAGCCTTCAAATATATGGTTAAATGATTTTTGACAAGGGTGCAAGATCATTTAATGACAGAAAGAACAGTCTTTTCAACAAATGATGCAAGAAAAACCAGATATCCACATGCAAAAGAAAGCAGTTGGACTCTTATTTAGCACTATACATAAAAATTAATTCAAAATGAATCAAATACCTAAATTAAATATATGACCTAAAACTATAAAACTCTTAGAAGAAAACTGGGCAAAAGCTTCACAACATTAGATTTGAGAATAATTTCTGAAAAATGAAACCAAAGGCACAGGCAAAAACAAAAAAACAGACAAACTGGATTTCATAAACATTTTAAAAATTTGTGCATCAAAAGACAATTACGGATTAAGATGGCGGATAGGCGGCTGGAATAGCTTGCAGCTCCTGCTCGGACAGAGCAGCATGTGGAGACTCACATCCTGAACTTTTCCTCCAAGAACTACCACAGCAACATACCAAAAAGCTGAGAGAATTCACAGACCTTTGGAGGAACTGGATTGCCTCTGCAGGCTCCCTGAGACACCAAAAAAACTGTGAGTCCACTTGCTTTCTCAGTGGGGAGGCTGGTGATCTCGGGCAGTTCTCAGTCCTGCTCACTGGCTGCCTGGAAATAGACTCGGTGCTTCTCCGGGGGAATGGTGGGAGTGAGACCCACCTTCAGGACTGCAGGTTGTGTGGGAGTGTGGTGAGGCCTGTGACTGCCAGTTTTCCCCCACTTCCCTGATGACCTGTGTGACTCAGCAGAGGCAGCCATAATCCCCCTGGGAACAAAACTCCATTGGCCTGGGAACCACATCCCCATCCCCCACAGCGGCCACAGGAAGCCCCACCCAAGGAGAGTCTGAGCTCAGCCATGCCTATCTCTACCCCAACCTGGTGGTCTTTCTCTACCTGCCCAGGTTGCCAAAGGCAAAGTGAGACAGCCAGGTGGGAGGGGGTCCCCAGAAAAACTCCAACTGGCTTGAGCACTGAGAGGAATGCGCACTGGGGTGGAGCCTCAGGAAGTTGCCTCCGTTTGCAGCTGGGAGAAGCCTGGCCCCTCTTCTTCCTGTGTGGAATCTGGGATGCCTACCTGCGAAGCGAGAAGCACTTTAGCAGGGACTCCGGCCCCGCGGAGAGTCTGTTTTCCCCATTTCTTTCTTTCACTCAGTAAAACCCTGCTGTGCTCACCCTTCAGACCCCATCTGCGAGCCTAAATCTTCATGACCGAGGAAGGACAAGAACCACATCTTTGGTTGAATTGAGGAAAAGTCCGCAATAAAAGGACATAATCTCTTGGGAGCTCTATAGCCCCACCCATCGCCTGATCCTCCCTATACAACTGCAGCTGATGCACTCTTGAAAGCGCCACATCCTGGCTCGATGCCAACCAACACAAAACCAGAGCGCCAAACAAAACTAAAATCAAGGACCTTCACAGTGTCCATTTCACTCTCCTGCTACCTCCTCAAGAACAGGTGCTGGTATCCACAGCTGACAGACCTGAAGGTGGATCACACCACAGGTCTCTCTGCAGACACTCCCTAGTACCAGCCTGGAGCCCAGTAGCTCTCTGCTGGATGGCTGAACCCAGAAGAACAAAAACAATCCTGTAGCTCAGGTCTCCCCTAAGGAAAGGGGGAGAACACCATATCAAGGGAGCACCCAGTGGGACAAAATAATCTAAACAGCAGACCTTGAGTTTTGACTTTAATACTCCACTGACAGCACTAGACAAATCATCAAGACAGAAAGTCAGCAAAGAAACAATGAACTTAAACTATACCCTAAAACAAATGAACGGAACAGATATTTACAGAACATTCTACCCAACAACTGCAGAATATACATTCTATTCATCAGCACATGGAACACTCTCCAAGATAGACCATATGACAAGGCACAAACAAGTCTCAGTAAATTTAAGAAAATGAAAATTGTATCAAGTACTGTCTCAGACCACAATGGAATAAAACTGGAAATCAACTGCAAAAGGAACACTTAAAGCCATACAAATATAAGGAAATTAAATAACCTGCTCCTGAATGGTCATTGTGTCAACAATGAAATCAAGAGGGAATTAAAAAATTATCTGAACTGAGCGATAATAGTGACACAACCTATCAAAACTTCTGAGATACAGCAAAAGCAGTGCTAAAAGTTTATAGCATTAAATGCCTATTACATCAAAAAGTCTGAAAGAGCACAAATAGACAATCCAAGGTCACACCTCACAGAACTGGTGAAGCAAGAACAATCCAAACCCAAACCCAGCAGAAGAAAAGAAATAACAAAGATCAGAGTAGAAATAAATAAAACTGAAACAAACAAACAACAATACAAAAGATAAATGAAACAAAAAGTTGGTTTTTTGAAAAGATAAATAAAATTGATAGACCATTAGTGAGATTAACTAAGAAGAGAGAAGATCCAAATAAGCTCAATTAGAAACCAAACAGGAGGTATTACTGCTGATGCCACAGAAATACAAAAGATTATTACTCAAGACTACTATGAACACCTTTACACACATAAACCAGAAAACCTAGATGAGATGGATAAATTCCTGGAAATATACAACCGTCCTAGATCAAACCAGGAAAATATAGAAACACACCAATAACAAGCAGCGAGATTGAAACAGCCAACAAAAAAAAGTCCAGGACCAGACAGATTCACAGCTGAATTCTATCAGACATTCAAAGAATTGGTGCCAATCCTACGGACACTATTCCTCAGGATACAAAAGGAGGGAATCTTCCCTAAATCATTCTATGAAGCAAGTATCACCCTAATACCAAAACGAGAGAAGGACATAACAAAAAAAGAAAACTACACACCAATATCCTTGATGAACACAGATGCAAAAGTCCTCAACAAAATACTAGTGAACCAACTCCAACAGCATATCAAAACGGTAATCTACCATGATCAAGTGGATTTCATACTAGGGATGCAGGAATGGTTTAACATCTGCAAGTCAATAAATGTGATACACCACATAAACAAAATTAAAAACAAAATCACAAGATCATCTTGATAGATGCAGAAAAAGCATTTGACAAAATCCAGCATTCCTTTATGATTAAAACCCTCAGCAATTTTGCTGAGAAGGGACATACCTTAAGGTAATAAAAGCCATCTATGACAAACCCACGGCTAATATTATACTAAATGGGAAAAAGTTGAAAGCATTCCCTGAGAACCGGAACAAGACAAGGATGCCACTTTCACCACTTCTATTCATCATAGTACTGGAAGTCCTAGCCAGAGCAATCAGAGAAGGGAAAGAAATCAAGGGCACCCAAATTGGTAAAGAGGAAGTCAAACTGTCACTGTTTCCTGATATGATCGTGTACCTAGAAAACCCTAAAGACTCATCCAAAAAGCTCCCAGAACTAGTAAATGAATTCAGCAAAGTTTCAGGATACAAAATTAATCAGTAGCTCTGCTATACACCAACAGCAACCAAGCTGAGAATCAAATCAAGAACTCAACGCCCTTTACAATAGCTACAAATAAAATAACTTAGGAATATACCAAACCAAGTAGGTTAAAGACCTCTATAAGGAAAACTATAAAACAGTGCTGAAAGACATCATAGATGACACAAACAAATGGAAACACGTCCCATGCTCATGGATAGGTAGAATCGATACTGTGAAATTGACCACACTGCCAAAAGCAATCTACAGATTCAATGCAATTTCCATCAAAATACCATCATCATTCTTCACAAAACTAGAAAAAAAAATCTTAAAATTCATATGGAACCAAAAAAGAGCCTACAGGGCCAATGCAAGACTAAGCAAAAAGAACAAATCTGGAGGTATCACATTACCTGACTTCAAACTATGCTATAAGGCCATAGCCACCAAAACAGCATGGTACTGGTATAAAAATAGGCACATAGACCAATGGAACAGAATAGAGAAACCAGAAATAAAGCCAAATACGCCAACAGATCTTCAACAAAGCCAACAAAAACATAAAGTGGGGAAAGGACACCCTATTTAACAAATGGTGCTGGGATAACTGGTAAGCCATATGTAGAAGAATGAAACTGGATCCTCAGCTCTCACCTTATAAAAAAATCAACTCAAGGTGGAGCAAAGACTTAAATCTAAGACTTGAAACCAGAACATTGGAAACACCCTTCTAGACATTGGCTTAGGCAAAGACTTCATGCCAAGAACCCAAAAGCAAATGCAATAAAAACAAAGATAAACAGATGGGACTTAATTTAACTAAAAAGCTTCTGCACAGCAAAAGAAAATAATCAGCAGAGTTAACAGAAAACCCACGGAGTGGGAGAAAATCTTCACAATCTATGCATCCGACAAGGAACTAATATCCAGAATCTACAAAGAACTGAAACAAACCAGCAAGAGAAAAACAAACAATCCCATCTAAAAGTGGCTCAGGGCATGAATAGACAACTCTCAAAAGAAGATACACAAATGGCCAAGAAACATATGGAAAAATGATCAACAACACTAATTACCAGGGAAATGCAAATCAAAACCGCAATGTGATACCACCTCACTCCTGCAAGAATGGTCATAATCAAAAAACCAAAAAATAATAGATGTTGGCATAGATGTGGTGAAAAGGGAACACTTCTACACTGCTGGTGGGAATGTAAACTAGTACAACCACTATGGAAAAACAGTGTGGAGATTACTTAAAGAACTAAAAGTAGATCTACCATTTGATCCAGCAATCTCATGACTAGGTATCTACCCAGGGGAAAAAAAGTCATTATACAACTAGAATACTTGGACACACGTTTACAGCAGCCCAACTTGCAATTCCAAAAATATGGAACCAGCCCAAATGCCCATCAACCAACGAGTGGATACAGAAAATGTGGTATATATATAGATACACATATATACCATGGAATACTACTCAGCCATAAAAAGAAATAAAACAATGGCATTTGCAGAAACCTGGATGGAATTGGAGACTATTATTCTAAGTGAAGTAACTCAGGAATTGAACACCAAACATCGTATGTTCTCACTTATAATTGGGAGCTAAGCTATGAGGATACAAAGGCATAAAAATGATACAATGAACTTCGGGGACTCAGCGGAAAGGGTGGGAGGGGGGTAAGGGATAAAACTACACATTGGGTACAGTATACACTGGTTGGGTGATGGGTGCAACAAAATCTCAGAAATCACCACTAAAGAACTTATTCATGTAATCAAACTCCACCTGTTCCCCAAAAAACCTATTGAAATAAAAATTTAAAAACAAAAAGACAATTATCAACAGAGTAAAAAGGCAATACATAAAATGGGAGAAAATATTTGCAGATCATATATCTGATAAGGGAGATTAATATTCAGAATATAGAGAACTCCTAAAATTCAACAACAAAAAGAATAACCAGATTAAAAAATGGGCAAAGAACTGTAATAGGCATTTTCTGAAAGGAGATATACAAATTGCCAAAAAGCACATGAAAAGATGCTCAACAGCACTAATCTTTAGGAAAATTCAAATCAGAACTACAATGAGATACCACCTCACACCATTACGATGACTACTATCAAGAAAACAAGTGTTGGCAAAGATGTGGAGAAACTGGGAGACTTGTGCACTCTTGGGGGTAATGTAAAATGGTACAGCCATTATGGAAAATAGTATGGCAGTTCCTCAAAAAGTTAAAAACAGAATTACCAAATGATAGGGCAATTCCACTTCTGGGTATATAACCAAAAGAATTTAAAACAGGGTCTCAGAGAGAGAGAGAGAGATGCCCATGTTCACAGCAACATTATTCACATTAGCTAAACTGTGGAAGCAACCCAACTGTCTATGGACAGATAAATGCATAAGCAAAATGTGGTATATACATGTAATGTAATATTATTCAGCCTTAAAAAGGAAGGAATTTCTTTCTTTTTTTTTTTTTTTTTTTTTTTTTTCAGAGAGTCTCACTCTGTTGCCCAGTCTGGAGTGCAGTGGTGTGATATCGGCTCACTGCAACCTCTGCCTCCCAGTTCAAACAATTCTCCTGCCTCAACGTCCCAAGTAGCTGGGATCACAGGCACCCGCCACCACATCCAGCTAATTTTTGTATTTTTAGTAGAAATGAGGTTTCACCATGTTGGTCAGGCTGGTCTCGAACTCCTGACCTCAGGTGATCTGCCCACCTCAGCCTCCCAAAGTGCTGGGATTATAGGCGTGAGCCACTGTGACCGGCCAGGAAGAAATTGCTGATGCTACAACATGGATGAACCTTGAGGACATAATGCTAAGTGAAATAAGCCAGTCACAAAAAGGCAAATAATGTATGGTTCTATTTATATGAGATGCTTAATCAAAATCATAAACATAAAGACAGTAGATTGATAGGTCCCAGGGTCTGGGGAGAGGGGGAAATAGGAGTTACTATTTAATGGGTATAGAGCTTTGGTTTTACAAGATGAAAAGAGTTACAGAGGCAGATAGTATGGATCGTTGTGTAACATTATGAATGTATTTAATATCACCAAACTGTATACTTAAAAATGGTTAAAATGACAAATTTTGTTACTGTATTTCATCACAGTAAAATTGGAAAAAAATTTGTTAAAATGGCAAATTTTATGTTATATAATTTTACTACAGTTTAAAAACATTTATATAGCTAAAAATAGCAAAGTTAAAACTAAACCCAAAGTCCTCTTTTTTTTTTGAGACAGGTTCTCACTTCGTTATCCAGGTTGGAGTACGGTGGTGTGATCACAGCTCACTACAGCCTCAACCTCCCACGCTAAGGTCATCCTCCTGCCTCCGCCTCCTAAGTAGGTGGGACCACCGGCATGCACCACCATGCCCAGCTAATTTTTTCAAAAATGTAAAAATTATTTATAGAGACATGGTCTCCTTATGTTGCCCAGGCTAGTCTCGAACTCCTGGCCTCAAGGGATGCTCTTGCCTCAGACTGTCAAAGTGCTGAGATTACAGGTGTGAGCCACTGCTCCTAGCCAGTCCTCTAATTTTTAATCCACTGTTTTCTCCACTAAATCATCACAGTCTTTTCAGAGAATCCTTGGCCAAATGATTTATTTATGACTCCTGTGTTTACCTCATAGAGGTGGAGTCACAGAAAAGAAAATCTATAAAAATATAAAGTACAATTAAACATGAAAGTAGGAAGGATTACTAACTTTATTAATCCAAATGGCAGTCCTTCTAAATTTGAGCTAATTAGGATAGAGGCAGACAGGCAAAAGAGTATCTCTACCTTGACAAAACAAACTTATAACTACATAAAATTATCGGAATATATTTATTTCAATGCCAACTAAAAATATACATAAGTAGTAAGGTTAATTATTTATTTTGCATGTAACACACATTGTCACTTACTCCTGCCAGTCCCAAATAAGGAGTAAAAAGCTAGATTTCCCTTTTCAGATAAATCAGAAAATTTCCAGATATTTTCTGTAGATTGCAACTATTTCTGGACAACTATTTCATCAGGAAAACAGTCCTACTACTATTCTCCTAAGTATACAACATTACGAACATGTCTTCTTATCCTGAATTATTAATTTTAAAAAAACTTCAGTTTTCTAAAAGCACTACAAATTCAAATGATAGTTCATTCTTCTAACAACTTGGAATCTTCCAAGGAATAATCCTTTTGACCTATGAGCAGAAATGGGAAGTTGTTTTGAACTTACTGTACTAAAATACTTTCCCATGTTATTTAAATACTTTATTTGTAGAATTTATAACATTTAAATTTAAGCTTACATAAACTCTATCCTAATTTCCTACACGTAGGAAAAAAAACCAATGGTGGTAATAAAATTGTTTTGATTTCTAACCAAATTGTTGTGCTTTTTAATCACAATTCATTTGGTATAAAGCAAAAACTAAACAAAAGGTATCTTTTAAAAACCTTATATAAAACAATATACAAACTATTAAATACCACTAATAAATGTTTTCTTTATATGTACCCAAGATACCATATGCAATAAAAAAGCGCCAAATGTCTGAAACAAGCTTCACTTATTCTGCAAATTGGGTTGCTTAAAATGCTAAAGGTCTTCAAGCTTAGTTATTCACTGACTCCCTTTCTCATTATCTAGAGAGAAAATGCATTCTTTTAAAAAGAAGCGCTCATCTGTGGAAACTTTCTAATTAACTTGGTTCAAAGCATGTGCAAGATGGCAGTTTTCTACACTGCTTCAGCATTTTAATTGACACAAAATGCTTAGCAGCCTATTCACATCCCCCCTTGGTAATTAAGCTAGGGTCAACTCTAGGACTAAATGAGCCAATCTTGTGAAACAAACGATTTCTACCATACACAGTATATAGCATATTAGGTTTACAGCAGTCTTTGAACAAAGTTAATGAGGTAGTAGCTGTGCCACTATGGGAGATTTATATAGAACAAGTTAACCTTTCTTAATGGTGCAGTAGTCATTAAAACTAATTACTAGCAGGGCATTATCTCTAACAATTATTAGCATCTATCAGCACATAATTAATTCAAGCTGCATTTCTGACAATGCTAATAACCACCTGCAAACAACTAATCAATATTCACTATTAGTAACATATTTGTTTTCAAAGCAAGTACAATTTCCTCTAAGGCTTTTCAGATTGAATAAGCTGTAACTTTCAGTATTGCTATAGTCAAGCATCTGTCAACAGCTTCATTACAATATATTGATTATGGCAATATTACAATACAGACAACTCTCATTAAAAGTCATAATCCACAGGTAACATAACAACAAAGAATAAGAATCTTTTCAGAAGCCTTCAAAATAAGAAAAAAAAGCTATTAGTTTTAACTTTAGATCAATCTTGTCAGTCTCCATTTTTCTCTGTAAGGAACAAATAAATCTATTTTATTTTTAATTAAGTTTAATCTCAGACCTAGCTTCCCCTTTCTCCTGCCACAGTGAGAATTTACAGGCACCTGAGAGGGACTAGGCCTCTCAGGGCGCTTATTCATCCACCAAGATCAATAAGCATGAAGTCAAGAAAGAGGACAAATTTATCTATTCGAAGATCAGAATTCAAATCCAGTTCAAAGCCCCACTTTCTCTCCTTTTACTCATCTTACCAGAGAGCCCCACTTGTTTACCAAGAAGACCATTCTTGGATTTTGTTTTAAACCACCAACTTATCTATACTTAAAACAATACTTGCAAATCTGTCAAAATACTACTAAAAATAATTCTATAAAACTGGCCTCATTTCTCTGCCACTTATATTCTAGCAAAGCACTCTCCAAAACCTTTTCAGGAGGAAACAGTAGAACAGGAAGTATAAGAATTACAGCACAGTGGTTATGATTATATGTTGTAGAAGGAGAATACTATAGTTCATAGCATGGCTCTGCTACCTGGCAGCAGTTTGTGTGACCTTGGGCAAGTTACCTGACTTATTCTCTAAGCCTCCTTTTCCTCACCAAATGAAAGTAAACAGAAGTGCCTGTATAGTGGGTTTAATAAATTAAAAGAAATATCCTTGTAAAAATGTTTAGTACAGCACATGGTAAAGTCCCAATAAACATAGGTTTTTGTTTTGTTTTGTTTTGAGACGGAGTCTCACTCTGTTGCCAGGCTGGAGTGCAGTGGCGTGATCTCAGCTCACTGCAACCTCTGCCTCTCAGGTTCAAGCAATTCTCCTGCCTCAGCCTCCCGAGTAGCTGGGACTACAGGCCGCACCACCATATCCAGCTAATTTTTTGTATTTTAGTAGAGAGCATAGGTTATTATAATTAATTTATCTAGTCTAAATTTATTTTCCTATTGCAAAGATATTAACCAGAAATAGAAATGTAGGTGCCTAGAAGACTTTACTTTTTATGTAATAATATTTCCTTTTACTTGTATCTCTATCTCAAATAAAATTCTTATACATTGGAATGGGATGTCTACCTTATTCCTATGCTATGAAATGTTTAAAAATTCTGTCCTCTCAATCCTTTATTATGCCAGAATTCAGTTTTAAGTCCATATTCATATACATCATTTTGCTCATTTTAATTACTATCCTCTAAAGCCACTCTGTCTTTGGCATTTCATCCAGAACTGTGTTCACAGTAATTCCGTCATAGTTTTTCATTACTTCATGGTAAAAAAGTTCATGAAAATCCAACTAATTTTGAGAACATTCATTATCGAAGTATACCAGGCTGACTGATACATTCACATAATGATCTTCAAAGACACATTTCAACAAGTATCTTTCCTGGATTATAACTGAACGCTTATAGACTAATATTAAGCAATTGTATTCATTCAATCAACATAAGAGCTTAAATGGTTTAGTCACTGTATTAAAGCAACTAAAGTCCAACAAAAACAGATTAATTCAATTATTAAGATCCCCCAAGATCTATACTATGAGGGAGACATCTAGAGATGTCAAGGAAGGGAACATAATTTAGCCTAGGATGGTCACTAAGTTTACCCAGAAGGGCCAATACTTGATCTGAATCTTTGAAGAATCGTAGTCGTCAGTCAGGCATGGGGGTTTAGAAAGTGAAGAGGGAGAAAGGGATGGGAGAAAAATGGCACAATCTATTATCAGTAGTTTATTATGGTTAGAACTGAGAAAAGAGGAGAGAAATGAATGATGAGCGTTAAGAATGTCAAGGCAGGCAGGGAGGATCATATTACGGAAAGCCTTGTGGGCCAAGTAAAGGGCTCTGAACAATATAGCATGATGCAGTTTCCTAAAATGTATGAGAAAAAAATATAACTAGCACATCACATCAAATCCATGTTCCAGAGATATAAAAAATATATATTAGTGATAAAATACAAAGTATTAAATAGTGTAAAGATATATGGGAAAAATCACAAAGGTGATACCAGAACTAACTTAATTTGGAAGACAATGTCATAGGGATTAGATACTCAGAGGTTTCATCAGACAAACCTTAGGGTTTGTGGGCTCTGTCAGTTTCCTTATCTTGTTTTTAAAAACAAGGATCATAATATCTCCCTCATAGGATTACTGCCAAAATTTAGTGAAAAAAAAATGCATTTAAAACAACACATAAGATAGCAAAATGGTTACAGGACTAAATCCCAGTACTACCACTTATTAGCTCTGAGATATCAGAAAAGTTACTGGGAAGAGTAACATTACCTATCTCATAAAAGTGTTGTGAGGAGTAAATGAATTCAGCTTAGAACAGTGTCTGCGATATGTGTTTAAGTAAATAAGATTTAAAAAGTATGTATTAACAAAATGTTAGCTATCACTATAAAGAAAAAATTCTGTGTCAGAATCTCTTTGCATTTTAGAAAGGTAAATCTAGTTTAAGTGCTAAGAATGTCTTGCAAGGGGACAAGAACACAGGCAGGGAAGGTTATGAAGTTATTTCAACAATCCAATAACCAAGAAAATCCAGAATTGTTATGACAGAGTGGATGAAGTTAGAAGATACTGAAGAGATAGCTTTAACTGGACTTCATACCTGATTATAGAATGGGAAAAAAAGGAAAAGAAAAAAAAGAGAAAAAGAAAGTCAAAGAGTTCTAGATTTTATCAAAAGAATGAAATTAATGATATTTGGGATCCATTAAGGGGTACAAATTTTGTGTGGAGTATAAGTTTTGAAATATTAAGTGGGAGGTACCTGTGAACACCAAGGTGGAGCCAAGTGGGTACGATGAAAAAAGAGCCTAAGAGAAATTTAAAAATAGTTTTGGTTTTACCCTAGTTGAAGCTCTCTAGAAATACCCATAATAAAGTTCACATGTCAAGTTTGTTAGGCATTTCCCAGACATTCCTGGAGTTTACACACAGTAGCTTCCCTTTTTATGTCTTTAAAATTTTAATCATCTTTGCTTTTCAACAGAGGCACCCTGATAAATGTTAAGTAATTAGAAGAACAAATAACTTTATTTAGGGGGTCCCATTATTTATATTTGCTCATCAAAAATAATCAACTTATCACAAATCTATATTTCATTTTTAATCTAGTTCTCCGTCCATAGCAAAATATCCCTTTGTAATATACCAGAAGAGATAAATAAAACACATTGTGCCCCCGTCTTCCCCCAGTTTCTTTTAAATATGCATATCTAAACCTGATTAAAATATATTTAAAGTCTGACAACAAAAGAAAGTCAATAATTTAGGATTCTTTTCTAATTCAACTATAGTTTAAAAAGTAAGTACAGGTACTATTTTAAGGAGAAAAAACTTAAAATCTCTCTTACCTGATGCCCCTATATTTGCCTCATCTTCAGGAACCAGGTTTTTATCCTTATTTATATCTTCAACTAAAAGTTTGTCAAAATGCTCAATACAAAGTCTGCTGTCGATTTGATATAACAATGCAGGGCAAAGGTATGTAAATAAATCAGTTGAGATGGGAGAGTTGGCACCATGACCATAGTATTTTAATAACTGAGTGACGTTCAAACACTGCAAGGAAAGTGATAAAACAAATTAAATAAGAGTGTCTTTAAGGAGATTATGCAAAAAAATAAATTACTGCCTAAGAAATACTCTAAATATTACTTGCAAATAATCTGTAATACATAGATATCTATTACAAATAAAACTTTTTAATAAGAATTTGTAATAGGGATACACTCAACTATATTACCCAAAACTTTTCATGGACTTTAATAATTTTTCTACTCCAACACATGAAAGATAATGACTTTCTGTCATGGATAAGGATGACTCACAACTATATCCCCAAGACTCTCGTAGGATGATGAGAAAAATCATTTCCCTATCAAATTGCAATCATCGGTGACTCAAGATCCTTATCTGTGAAACAGATTAAATAGATTTAGAGTACTTTAATGGCTTATATAGACATTTTCATTGCCAAATGCACTCTAAAAGCATATTGTTTTGGAAAATTCTAGCCCAATGTCGGTTGATAGGAACAAAACTGGAAGATAAAAATAAAGGCAGCTTCATCCACTGGTACTTTAAAAACAAACAAAAAAAAAAGTAAGCTTAAAACTGATTAAAGAGGAGAAAGAAAAAAATAATAAAAAACAAAACAACGCAGAAAACAAATAGCAAACAAGTTTGGATCCATCATATGGTTAAAAACAAGTATCTAATATTACGGCAAAAGAGATTGGCACTGTCCCTTTGTCACATATATCTGCTCTGGTTGCATGCTTGTTTATTGACTTGCTACCTCACTATATGGCTTTATCTATGGCACCAAAAAAAACCCATCAAAAACTAAAATCAAAACCTATAAACACAGAAAAATGATTCTTCTTAGTTTTTTTTTTTTATTTTTTATTTTTTTCTATTTAGCACCACTTAATTGCTTTTGATCTTCTTAGGTCTTAACTACCATAAGGTACTACTCTATTAAAAGTATTGAACATTTCAGAATCATGAGATTCCCAGTATACATCAGACCTATCAGAATAGCATTAACAAGTCTAATAATGCAAACCTCACGGATGTGATACAAAGAGGAAATGAACAATAAAATCTTGTAATTATCAACAAAATATTCTAGGATATTATCCTAAGTCATAATAATTAATTATCCTAAGTCATAATAATTAATGCACTGTAATCCCAGCACTTTGGGAAGTTAAGGCTGGAGAACTACTTGAGGCGAGGAGTTTGAGACCAGTCTGGGCAATATAGTGAGACCCCATCTTTACAAAAAATAAATTTTTGAAAATAATAATAAAATGAATGCATACTTTAAAATCATACTAAGATCTTAATATATGTTATTTTAAAATCAGTGTTTATAACTGCTGAAAACCAAATAGCTGATGATTTATCAAGGGAAGAAACACAAAGATCTTTACCTAGACATAAAACATATCTCAACGACAGTGACAGAAAAGGATGTGGTCATTTTCCACAGTTGATGGTGCTACTTTCTATACATATGAACAACAAACTCAACAAGTTTTTCTAAACTTTAATAAGAATGCTAAAAATAGAATAAACAAGGAATCAACATCCCTTTAATGAAACTAAAATGAATGTGCTTAAGGTGAATAGTTAAAAAGAAAATCAAGGAGTCAACCAAATGTGTAAGTACCCAAGAGTATGAAAATTTTAAAGGAAAACAGGACATCCCATTACTATTAGTTTCTTATTATTATACCTTTTTATATTCATCCTAAGTCTGTGAAAGGCCTGAGACAAAAACAATTATCATGAGTAAGTAGGCCTTATCATAAAGTGACACAGAGAAAACAAGCTAGCCATATGTGCAAAATACCTGACTTTGGAGCTACACCAATGACTTGGAACCACTCAATAGTTAATTCAATAAATTAACAATTTATGAACTAGAAACTGTTCTAGTTACTTCCCAAGAGGACAAGTTGAACAACAATTAAAAAATTTTAATTTTCAAATACCTAGAACATGGCTAACAATAATAACAGTAAGAGACTAGCTTGGAGGGTCAAATAATTCATAAGGAATACATTTTCTAACAACATTAAAACACTTAAGTCTTCAGATACGTGCTACAAAAAAAAATTTCTTAAAAATACGTTTGGATTTGAGGAAACCAAATTTGAGAATATAAGAAACAAACAAATACAAGTGAAATTCAGATTTTAAAAATCTTTTTTCTTTCTTTTTTTGAGATGGAGACTCACTTTGTCGCCCAGGCTGGAGTGCAGTGGCATGATCTCGGCTCACTGCAACCTCTGCCTCCCGGGTTCAAGTGATTCTCCACCTCAGCCTCCCGAGTAGCTGGGGCTACAGGCGCCCGCCACCATGCCCCGCTAATTTTTTGTATTTTTAGTAGAGACGGGGTTTCACCATGTTAGCCAGGATGGTCTCAATCTCCCGACCTCATGATCTACCCGCCTCGGCCTCCCAAAGTGCTGGGATTACAGGTGTGAGCCACCGCGCCCGGATACTTAAAAATCTTTACACTGATTCTGATTCCTTAATGTATTCTGTTCATGAACATTACCTGATATTTCATAGGTAAACATATGGAAATAAGTTTAAATATGATTAATACTCCACTGTTACTTATCCTGTTTTTAAAATGCACCACAATTATGTGAGAATTACGAAGCAGCTATCGGACATCTTTTTATACTTACTTCATGATGATGGTCATCTTCATTTAGATCTTTTCTCAAAGAAATTATTGCATTATTTTTAACATGTGGTGCTTCTCTCTTTCTAGTATGTCGAAGTTCACCTTCATTATCAGGATCAAGATCTTGGTGTCCACGACCAGGATCATGACCATTACGTTCTGGAAGATGTACATGAGAATGACCTGGGTTATGTACACGATCAGGTTTGTGGACCCGATTATGCTCATACTGTTCACCCTGATCATGGTTAGGGGGAAAACCTGGTGTAATAACCTCAGAATTTTCATTACTTTTCCTCCCTTTTTTCTTCCTCTTTCCTTTCGGTAGTTTAACATCAGATTGTTCCTGGGTTTTATTGGTCTCTGTTGAAGGTTCATTGCTAGGCTCCCCACGCTCACTGGGAGTAATGGAATCATTATGAAAATGGTGAGTGTTGTTATGATCAAGATGATGATGCAAACGATGGTGATGACGTAGGCGGTGATTATGGTCATGCATATGTTTATCATCAGATTTTACAGACACTTCAACTGTCTCTTTCTCTGGATCACATTTATGGTTTCTTTTTGTGGATACACTGGTCACAGTTTGATTTTCTGAATTTAAATGATTATGGGAATGCTGGTGGTTATGTGAGTGAAAATGCTTTCCCTCTTGAACTGCCAAAATATCTAAATGAGAAACATGATCGTGGCCAAGATCCTCATGATTAATCTCAACTACTTTTCTCTCTCCAAGGCCCAAGTTTGTTAAAAGTTTCTCCAAACCAAAAAAGGATAATCTTCCATTTTCACCATAACGCTCAAAAAGTTTTTCAATATAGTATTTTTTTTCATTTTCAGCAGCTTGCTTTGAAAATTTGCTTGGCTCCAATTCTGTCATTCCACGATGCTGTCTGTGAAGCGCTTCAGGGCCATGGTCATGTTCTTCATGGCAATGGTTGCAATGATGAAAAATAAATGTCAGCAAACAAATGAGGCAAAATTTTGTGTGCATATGTACCTTCATTTCTATTTTTCCTAAAGAGATTTAAAGAGAGAGACAAGTATTAGTTTCTACCTAGACACATTCAAAACAATCTAATTCTCTGGAAGTTGCCAATCCACTAAAAAAAGTTTTACTCCATTTCCTTCATGATAAAATATGTTAAGAACCAGAGAAAAGTGAAACTGTCATTATTCACAAATGGTAGAATTAATTATGCAGCATGCCTTAAAGAATCTTTAAGAATAAGTTAGTTTAGTACAGTTACTGAATATAAGGACAGTAATAAATTATATTCCTATATATCAGCAATAATTAGAAAATAAAACTCAAAAATAGTAACATTTACAACAGTAGCAAATAGCTAGGAATGTATCTAACCAAAGACATACAAGAACTTTACATAGAAAAGAGAGAAATTATTGAGAGAAATATTATTGACAGAAAATTACTGAGAGAAATAAAAGACCTAAATAAACGGATGGCTATATCATGTTATGACTGGATAAGCTATGTATCCAATACAACCCCAGTCAAAATCTCAGAATTTTGTGAAAACTGATTAACTGTTTTTAATATTGATGTGGAAATAGAAAGGGCCAAGAACGGCTAAGATGTATTCCTTGAGGAACAAAATTGAAGCATTTACTCTATGAATTATCAAAGATGCTGTGGTATTTGGTGCAATAACAAACAGACTAAAGGAACAGAAGACAAAAGCTAAAAACCGGAAAGGATGGTCTTTTCCTTGGTGCTTGGTCAATTAGGTTTCCACACAAAAGAAAATAATAAATAAAATCTGACCCTTACCTCACACATCATTACAAAAATCAATTGCTAATAGCTCCTGAACATAAATCTGAAACAAGAAATGCTAAAATGATAAAGTGTCCAGAACTGTCCAATTCAATGGTAGCCACCACTAGTCACATACGGGTACTTAAATGAACTAAAATTAAATTTAAAATGCAGCCTCTCAGTCACCCTGACTATGTTTTAATTGCTCAACAGCCACATGTAGCAAATGGCTAGTATGTTGGACAACGTAGACGCAGAACATGTCCATCATTATAGAAAGTTCTATTGGACAAGCATACTTCAAGAATCTAGAAATATAATAAGAGCCAATTATGTAATTCTGAAGTTTTCCAGAATAGATGAAACTAATTTCATACTATTCTATTTAACCCATTATATCCAAAATATTATAATTTCAACATCTAATCAATATAAAAATTATTAAAATATTTTACATTCTTTTTAATACTATGTCTTTGAAATCTGTCATGTATTTTACACTTACAGCACATCCTAATTCAGTCTAACTGTATTTCAAGTGCTCAACAGACGTGTGGCTACTGGCTACTGTACTGGAAAGCGCAGATCTTGAAGATTTGGGAGACTAATTTTAAGACCTTCGAGATAGAACACAAAATTGATAATATATTACACTGAAATTAAGAATTTATGTTTCATCAAGAGACATCCAAAAAAAAAAAAAAAACCTAACTAAAAAGGCAGGCTGCAGACTGGGAGAAGACTACCACAATGTATACTCAAAAATATATAAGGAACTTCTATAAATCAATATGAAAATTACAATAAGACGACCCAATGAAAAAATGAGTAGGTAACTTGAACAAGCACTTCATAACAGCAGCCAAACTCCTAAAAAGCAAATGAAAATATGTTCAGCTCAGAAGTCTTCAGGAAACCAAATTAAAATCACAATTAGATACCACTATATACCCCATGAAAATAACTGAAATATAAAATACTGCCAATATCAAAAGTAGGCAAGAATATATAGAGTTAAATGGAACTTGTGTACTGACAGTAGTATTAGAGATTGTATCTTCTGAAAAACTGTTTGGCAAGATCTGCCAGAAGCTGAATGTAAGCCTATGTACTTACACAGCAATTTTAATCTGGGGTATATGCCCAACAGAAATCCATGTACATGAATACCAACATGAATATTCACGTAATCATTATTCATCACAGTCAAAACTGAAAAAAGGCTGGGTGTGGTGACTCACACCTGTAATTCCAGCACTTTGGGAGGCCAAGGCAGGCAGATCACCTGAGGTCAGGAGTTTAAGACAGGCCTAGCAAACATGGTAAAACCATTTTTACTAAAAGTACAAAAATTAGCCAGGCGTGGTGGCATGTGCCTGTAAGCCCAGCTACTTGGGAGGCTGACACAGGAGAATCACTCGAACCCAGGAGGCAGAGGTTGCAATGAGCCCTGATCGTGCCACTGCACTCCAGCATGGGCAACAGAGACAGACTCTGGTCAAAAAAAAAAAAAAAAAAATCTGATAAAAGCCTAAATGTTAATCAACAACAAAATGATAAATGAAACAGAAAAATCTATCACACAGGAATAAAAATGAAATTACAGCTTCATGCATAGATGAATTTCACAAATATTGGGAAAAAAATGACAAACACCAAAGAAAGCAGTATAATTCTTATATAAAGGTAAAAAGGAATAAAACTAAACTTTGTGGATTTTTTTTTGTTTGTTTTTGAGACAGGATGTCACTGTGACACCCAGGCTAGAGTACAGTGGCGCAATCATAGCTCACTGGAGCCTTAAACTTCCAGGCACAAGAGATCTTCCCACCTTAGCCTTCCAAGTAGCTGTGTGTGCCACCACGCTCAGTTTTAATTTTCTTCTTTTTGGGGTCTTGCTCTATTGTCCAGGCTGGTCTCAAACTCCTAGCCTCAAGCACTCCTCCCAACTCAAATTCCCAAAGTGCTAAGATTGCAGGTGTGAGCTACCATACCTGGCCATGATTACTTTTTGAAAGAGAGATAGAGGGTAATAATTGGGAGAAGACCAGAATGGAGGGGACTGCAAAGTGTAATGGTCTTTCCTGATATCAGTAGTAGTTATGTAAATATGTTTACTTTGTGATAATTCATGGCACTTATGCTCTGTGTACTTTCTGAACACAGTCTATTTCAATACAAAGTTTTATAAAAATCAAATTTTCTTCACTGAAAACCAATCACAAAATGTAATTATAAACAACATTGTATGGTTTCTAGAATTAATTAGAACAAGACATATAAAACCACTAAAAGGAAAAACTTATTAAGATGTTATTGAAGGACAGCAAAGAACTGAAAAACCTGGAGAAACACATCATCTACATGAATAGATGGGATATACTGCATAAGGTACATAAAATCTTCCCAAGTGTATATACAAATTTAACTCAATGCCAGTTAAAATCCTGGTAGCTGTTTAGTTTTGGTGAGACTTCATAAGCACATTCAAAAACTCATAAAAGCAAAAACCCAAGGACAATCAAGACAATTCAGAAGATTAGCAAGGTATTAAAGACTTCTTTTTATAAAATTATACTAACGAAAATAACATAGAACTAGCACAGGGGTAGATAGGCCAGTGGAGTGGAACAGAGTTCTGAAAGAGCATCAATAATATTGACTGTGAAAATGTTTCTTCCTCACACTACACACAAAAGTCAATTCCAAGAACATTAAAAACCTATATGTGAAAAGCAAAATTATCAACAAGTTCTAGAAGAAAATGTAAGAGAATGTCTTTATGTCTTTGGGATAGGGAAATATTTTTTAGGCAAGACACAAAGCACATATCATGATGAAAATTTTTGATTAACTAAATTCTTTAAAAAATACTCTATAATAAAGGACACTATAAAAAAAAAAAAAGCTTATAGGCCAGGCGCTGTGGCAGGCGCCTATAATCCCAGCTACTCAGGAGGCCGAGGCAGGAGAATTGCTTGAACTCGGGAGGTGGAGGTTGCAGTGAGCCAAGATTGTGCCACCACACTTCAGCCTGCCAGCCTGGGAGACACAGCAAGACTCTGTCTCGGTGGCGGCAGGGGAGGGGGAAGCTTATAGCAAGCCATATACTAGAAGATATTTGCAATGTGTATATATAAACAATGTATATAAAACATCAGTATCCAGAGTATATAAAGCACATATAGTAATAAAAAAACTCCACTACTACATAGACAACTATGAAAAGAACATAAAACAGGTTGGTAAAACAGCAACATGATGACTAATAATCTAGGCAATTCAAATCTAGATAAGGCTCTAAGACAGTAACAGGCAAAAATTAGTATCTCACAATACTAGATGTTAAGTAAAGGTCTAATATAAAGAAACAAACTACCTTATGCGTCTGGTGGAAGTATATATTGGTACAGCCATTTTGGAAAGCAACTTGACATTTACTACAGCCAAATATGAACACACTCTACAGCCCCCAAGTTCCATTTTAATTACCCTTGCACTTAGGCACGCAAAGACACATTCAAGAATCCTTACTGGGGCCAGGCATGGTGGCTCACGCCTGTAATCCCAGCACTTTGGGAGGCCGAGGTGGGTGGATCATGAGGTCAGGAGATCGAGTACATCCTGGCTAACACGGTGAAACTCCATCTCTACTGAAGATTCAAAAAAATTAGCCAGGCATGGTGACGGGCGCCTGTAGTACGAGCTACTCGGGAGGCTGAGGAGAATGGCATGAACCCGGGAAGCGCAGCTTGCAGTGAGCTGAGATCACGCCACTGCACTCCAGCCTGGGCGACAGAGCGAGACTATGTCTCAAAAAAAGAGAATCCTTATTACAATATTGTAAATGTTTTTCTAATGTGAACTATTGCAATAACAGAACACTCAACCAAAGTGGGTAAAACAGAGGAAAACTTTCACATAAAAAGAAGTCAGGAGAAATGGGTGATTCTAGGACAGTACCAAAAATCCAAGCACGCTCAAATTTACCCTCAGAGTCCCAAGATAACCTTGCATAATCATATTCAAAACTGGAAGATTTATCTTTTTTAAAATACAATTTTTATTTTTTTTCCTCCTCAGAAATCTTGTTTGGATGGAAGGTTCATCTTCATGTCTCTCTTTTTATCCAGGGAGAAAAATATTTCCCTCAAGCCTCTCTTTACGTATCTTTGATCAGTCAGGTCTCTACCACATGCCCATGCTAAAGCCAATCACTGGTTTACAGTAGTGTATAGTAATGTCCCAGGCCTTCACATTCACTCACTGCCCACTCACTGACTCACTCACAGCTGCTTCCAGTCCTGCAAGCTCCATTCATATTAGTGCCCAACACTGGTGTACCATTTTTAAAATCTTTTATACTGAATTTTTACTGTACCTTTTCTATGTTTAAACATACAAATATTTACTATTGTATCACAACTGCCTACAGTATTCAGTATATCAACAGGTTTGTAGCCTAGAAGCAACTGGCTATACTCTATAGGTAGGTGTATAGCAGGCTACACCATCTAGGTTTGTCTAAGTATACTCTATGATGTTCACACAATGACAAAATCACCTAAGCCTGCACCTCAGAACATACTCAGCATTAAGCAATGCATATGACTGTATGTGGGAGAGGCAATACTCACAGAACATGGGGGAATAAGAGGCCTCAAGAAAAAAGGAGGTAAATAAAGAAAAGCAGGCCGGGTGCAGTGGTTCACACCTATAATCCCAGTACTTTGGGAGGCCGAGGCGGGTGGATCACCTGAGGTCAGGAGTTCAAGACCAGCCTGACCAACATGGTGAAACCCCATCTCTACTAAAACACAAAAATTAGCCAGGCCTGGTGGCGGGTGCCTGTAATCTCAGCTACTCGGGAAGGTGAGGCAGGAGAATCGCTTGGACTCAGGAGGCGGAGGTTGCAGTGAGCCGAGATCATGCCATTGCACTCCAGCCTGGGCAACGAGAACAAAACTCTGTCTCAAAAATAAAATAAAATAAGGAAAAGTGGTCAGCTGTGTAACCATTATGTTGCCTGCTACAACCTAAATGCTCATCATTAGAATAAATAAATATGGTATATTTATTTAAAGATTACACTGCAGTTATAAATGTGACTATGAAGGACTTTGTATTAACATGCAATAATCTCAGAAATATAATTTTTAAAATTGCAAAAAGATACATGCTGTATAATTTACAGACAATCTTAAAACATGCAGAATTACTTATTTGGGGGTATATATTCATGTAGCAAGAGAACATGGGATGATTACATTCTGGAGTCATTATCTTCTCAGAAAGGGAAGGAGGGAAATCAGCTGATAGAGGAAGTACACAGATTTAACTGCATTTGCAGTGTGTTATTTCTTTAAAAAAGGGAAAGGGATCTAATGCAATATGATAAAACATTTAATATTTGTTAAAGCAAGATAATGGGATTCAGGTGCTTGATTATTCTTCTGTGTACTTTTCTATAAATCTGAAAAGATACCACATAACCTGCATCAGTGGTTAATCAAACTGTGGTTGTGAGAGCAGCATAAGCTTGCTAGAAATCTGAAAGGCAAATTCCTGCATCCCACCCAGACCTACTATAACAGAAACATTAGGGATAGGACCCAGCAATGACTTATCCAGCCTTTCTAGTGAGTCTGATGCAAGCTACACAAAATTTGAGAGTGCCTATTTACACATATAAATTAGCAATGACTTATCCAGCCTTTCTAGTGAGTTTGATGCAAGCTAGACAACATTTGAGAGTGCCTATTTATACAAATAAATTACCAAACACTTCCATTTCTCTAAAATGATACTTTGGGCTGGGCACTGTGGCTCACGCCTGCAATTCCAACACTTTGGGAGGCAGAGGTTGGCGGATCTTGAGCGCAAGTTCAAGACCAGCCTGAGCAACATGGCAGAACCCCATCTCTACAAAAAAAATACAAAAAAAATTAGTTGGGCATGGTGGCGTGTCAGAAGCCAAGGTAGGAGGATCATCTGAGCTTGGGTGGTCAAGGCTGCAGTGAGCCCTGATCTTGCCACTGCACTCCAGCCTGGGCAATAAGAGACATTGTCTCAAAATAAATTAATAAATAATAGTTTAGTCAACTGAATGTTATGATCTATCTGAATAAATTAAGTTGAATTATCATATATGGCATATATAGGTTAAGCATTTTTTAAAATAGCCTATAAAACAATTCCAAAGCAGCATTAAGTTTGAGATGTTTTTTAATCTCACAGTCTCATGGATAAAGTCACCATTTAAACGGTGTATCAATTTTACTCGTACACTAATGAAGATAAAAAGGCGTGGGTGATTAAGACCACTGTTAAGCAAAGGAAGATACATATTCCTTTAGCTCCCTGTTACACTCCCTGCAGTTACCTTGATTTTCCACTAGAAGATGCTAATTAAAGGTGTGAGTGTTGCTTCATTCAGCTGATATGTAAATACCATGAGGTTTCTTTAATGCATGTTATCTCACTGTCAAATGAATAGGTACCAGAGGTGGAAACAGGACATTCATATATATTGATCAGACATCATCAAATGAATGACTCCACGAAACACAAAAGCTGTAGATGGTTTACACAAGCTTTAAAACGTCATTTGTCTCTACTTTTTAAATACATCATACTCTATTATGGAAAAGATTTTAAGTATCTTGAGTACTCTAATCACTTACATTTAAGAGAATATAGGAATACAATGATACAAGCAACGTTATGAGGTAATACTAAACCTGTGCTTTTTTTTATTTATTAAAGTAAATCATTCACTAACTTTGCAACTTTAGTTTAGAACTACTATAGCAGATGTATGCTTTCAGAATCATTTAGGCCAGGTATGGTGGATCATGCCTGTAATCCTGGCACTTTAGTAGGAGGCCAAGGCAGGAGGATGGTTGAGCCCAGGAGTTTGAGGCCAGCCTAGGCAACATACTGAGAGCTTATCTCTACAAAAAAAGTAAAAAATTAGCTGGTGTGGTGGTGTATGCCTGTACTCCCAGCTACTTAACAGGCTAAGGTGGGAGGATTGATTGAACCCAGGAGGGCCAGGCTGTAGTGAGCCAAGATCGTGCTGTGCTGTGCACTCCAGCCTGGGTGACAGAGCAAGACCCTGTCTCAAAAGAAAAAAAAAATCATTTAGATGAAATATGCATTTTGTTATCACAGGCTAAGCAGCTATTGATTGCAAAGAGACCCCTCTCAAAAGGCAGTGGTTTAAGAAATGGGCAAGTTTTTGTCTCTCTCAATAACAGTTGAAGATGACTACTCCATATTAAATCACTTGGACATTAAAAAAAAAAAAGATGACCGCTCCGGGTCTGAGTGCAGCTCCGCTCCAGTCATTCAGAGACATAACATTCTTACATAGTTGATATTCCAGCCAACAGGGAAAGAGAAAGAATGGAAGTCCAGGTTCAGAAGTTTCTTCTTCAGTATCAAGGGAAGTAGAAGTTGCAGGCATCACTTCTCATCACATTCCATTGGCAAGGGGTTAGTCACATGATCTCAATTGGCTAGGAGGCCAGGGTCTCACCAACTTACAGAGTTTCCCAAGCATTCCAGTAGATGTTAACAATCTTTTCCATCGACAGCACAAAGAGGATCTCTGAGATGGAGACAGGAATGGGGGAAATGGTAGAAGCCCATATACCACTCAACCCTAAAAACTGACATTTATAGGACACAGCTTTGCCCAAGCCAAAATATTCTATTATGTCTCTTGTGTTTTGGAGTTTTCCAAGTTTTATGCATTAAGAATATGTTAGTTTTATAATTGATAATATTTTTTCAGTTCAGCTGAGTTACATCTACTGAAGAGTTCTGCT